>NC_000010.11:52415822-52567337 GCF_000001405.40 Homo sapiens | reverse complement strand
ATGTTAATTTCTATAATGACAAATACAGTACTGTTATATGAAAAGCTCATTGACCTGAGGGCACTACTAAGAAAATGTTTCTCTATTTTTTTTTTAAATGTTTTTACAGTATTTTAATAGTTTGAATTCCTAGTCGGGGGGAAATTATCATCTACCCATTTCCAGCAGGGGGCAGAATTACCATAGAGGAGGTAGATGGTATAAAAATATCAGGAAACAAGAAACAAAATCAAGCAGAAAAGTAAAAAAAATAGTTTGTATTTCTTGGACTCTTTCCAAGTTGACAAATATTTATCAATTTTTAAAAGTAACAAAAAGTTCTTCATGAAATATTTAGCTATTGCTACACTATTGTTTACTACCAAAGGCAATTTCTTTCAGCTACACAGTAGGAAGGTTGATTTTTGTGCAATGCTTTACAGCGTCAAGTTCTTACTGTTCCTATATGTCAAGGAGAGCAGTTGAAGCTTTACAATGATTTCTACAAGAAAATGATCCCATGTATGCTTGCTTTCTCATACTGAAGACATCTTAAGCTTTGTTGAAAAGTTCTTATCTTTCTAATTATACCTTCAATCAATGAAATAGAAAATGAAATAGAAAGTTGCAGCCAGTGGAGTGCTGGTAAATGTTTAACAACTGGGTCTCAAAACAAAACAAAATAAAACAAACAAAACAAAACAAAACAAAAGAGGGTGCGTGTGTGTATGTGTGTACATCATCTTGTAATAACTTTTGAGTATATAAGAATGTGTAAGCTTTTGTTGATTTTTCCTAACTCTTGTAATCATAGCCAACCCATAGCTGCAATTGACAAATACATGTGGTTCTGATGTGAATATTGGCTGCGATTTTTCTTTCCTTTTTTATTTTTTTTAACCCATTAAGATAAAAGTGGCCCTAACACGGTGGTTCACGCCTGTAATCCCAGCACTTTGGGAGGTGAAGGCAGGCAGATTGCTTGAGGCCAGGAATTTGACACGAGTGCGGCAACATAGCGAGACTCCATCTCTCCAAAAAAAAAAAAAAAATACAAAGAAAATTAGTTAGGTGTAGTGAAGGGTGCCTCTAGTCCCAGCTACTTGGGAGGCTGAGGTGAGAGGATTACTTGAACCCAGGAGGCGGCGGTTGCAGTAAACCGTGATCACACCACTGCACTCTACCCTGGGCAACAGAGTGAGACTGTCTCAAAACAACAAGTAAAAATTTTAAAAAGATAAACGTGAAACAGCAAGACCAATGTCAGAACTTTCCTCCTTCATCTATTATGTGAGTGATGTATATGCTGAATCAGGTAACAGTTTTTAAGTGTTAGAAAACTATTTTCTCAATTTTTTGTGCTGCACAGTATAATGTCTCCAGACATGACTCACTTTTAAGTTTAATCTGCATTATTAATGTTTCCTGTATCACTTTCTTAAATAAAGACAATAAACAAAACAATTAATCAAGCCCTGATTTATAGCATTTGCCTGCTCTGTGGGTTAAGTGATATGAATACTCTCACCATGACCCATTTCAAACTACTAATGCAGTATCACTGAACAGAGTTGAGAAGAGATGCTCAATAGCTCATGATTATGTATTATTGCTACCATATAGATTCAGTAAGGAAAATTACCTAGACAACATAGGTGATACTAAAATGTATACAATATTTAGGAAGTGCTGGGTTTTGAGTATTTATTACCTTTGATTTTTAATGTGATAGGTTATATGTGCCAGCTCCAGAACACCACTGATCATGAGAAACTTTGTGAACTCTTAAGACAAAAGTGTAACACGAAAGGAAATAAAATTAACACTAAAGACTTGGAAATAAAAATGGAGTTAATACATTTCTCCATTTAGTTCTATTAACACTAAGATTTACAGAAGCGTTAAAAGAAATGCAATTCCTTAGGTCAATATATTTCATTTCTTGAACATGTGGAATCATACCTAGTACATTTGTGTTTTCCCAAGATAAGACATAATATATAATAATCCTTTTGTGTTCCCTCCAAGTAAAGTGATTTATAGGTGAATGAATAGTATTATACCAAAAATGTTTATTAGTATTTTTCAAAAATTATCTTTTTTGAAAATTTTTTTTAATACTTCAAAATTTTCAGAAATATTTTCTAGCTGGGAGATAAAGATCATCCTAGCCTTCTCTCAGCTTTTTCTGGCTGTCTTCTAGCATATTTATGTCACGGCTATAGCACAAATTGGGGACAGTTCTACACACAAGAAAATGATTCTGAACAGAATTTCTCAGGTTCATTCTGGCTGGAGAAATTTAGGCCACATGCTGACCCCTGAAGTTAAAGGTGAAGTTACTTTCTATTTAAACATACGGACTCCATTCAGAAGAATGAAATTCTAAAAACTGTTAGAAAGAGTGGAGCAAAGAATGAAGGCCAGATAAGAAACCAACAAATGCCCATTATATCTTCTACTCCAAAGTCATTAAGGAATACCATTTTGTTTTAAACATCAAGTTTAAACTTCTCTGCTTTCAAATTCTGCCACATTTTGCCCCACTCTTAACTACCCAACTTTACTTCCCACCAATTTCTTTCTATCCTTGACAGGCCAGTCTCACTCTTCTAGGACTTTATAATGTTTATACCTGGTTTTGTACCTCATTGTCTTCTCTACATTTGGAAGATTCTTTCCTCTTTCCTCTTTTCCAGTAATTAGCCATTAAGGCCCAATTCAAAAACTTACATTCCATTTTTCTTTCCACTGTGAATGATCACAGTTCAATTCAATTAAGCATTTGTGTACTAAGCAACTAACGTGTATGGTAGAAGATTTCTTAAGAGCGTGGTGAGTTGAAGATACTTGTGAGAAATCTACAAACAGCTATTTATGAAGAAGCTGGAAAATTGGAGATCTAGAGTTACTGAGAGTTTAGGACCAAAGATAGAGACTTATCCACATAAGTACTGAAATAGAAAGTTTGCCTAAGCTAAGGCAAAACTATAGAGAAAGAAAAGAAGAGAACTAAAGACAAAATAGACACATAAGAAGTGAGGATATGGAGCAAACCACAGCGACTGAGTAGTGTCAGAGAAGAAGAAGGAAAAATCTGTTCACATAAATCAAAAAAGGAAAATATCGATTAAAAAGGAAAATATTCAAAGGCATCTAACACAGTTGAATTAAGTATGTGAACTTTGGTTTTCTGGATCTCACCATTGTCTGACTGTAGTTTCTACTTCATTTCAATGTGATAAAATATAATTTGATTTGTGACTGATCAAACATTGGATTAGATCTACCCCAATCCCATTAGACCTGCTCAGAGGAAAATGGACCTTGTGCTATAAACATAGTAATCTCTTCCCTTTTACAGGGTATATGGCAGACAGTTCCCAAAGATAAGCATATGAAAGAGACATGCCATCCCAAAGTATGTCTTTTTTGGCAATTAATTTCACTATCCAAAACTTCCATTTAACACCCTTCCCCACCAATATGCCGGTCATTAAAAGGACAAAACATATCCTTAGTTGAATATTTAAGTTCAATTTAAAAATGTCTCTTTCTTCCAATCTTTGGTATAATTTGACATGTTCTGTGATTTTCAGTTGTCAGGCATATTAACTTATGAATCACTACTGTATCACTTTAGGACAAGTGAAAACTTTTTGCTTAGACAAAAAAAAAAGAAAAAAGAAAAAAGAAAAAAATTACTGAAGCTGAAATCAACTCATTGCCCCTAGCCCTGCCCAAAAGAAGAAGAGAAAAACATCGAGGCATGAAAAAGTGTTTTTCAACCCCTGCTACTCTGTGAGTCACAGAGCTTGATGCCATAAATTAGGCAATTTCTCAACCATAGACTGAATGTTATATCACATAATCACAGAAGTAACAGTATTTTGTATTACTTGTTTAAATTTTGTTTTCTGAAGTATCTTTCTTACAGCATAATGCTAGCAGGTACATTTTAAGGATGTTAAAACTGTATCTATTCAATTCTTGACTTAACAGGGATACTTACATCTTAAGTAAAATTTCCCCAAATGTGCTTTAGAAACAAAAAGGCATTTATATTTTTACATCAGGGTTGTCAAGGGCTGCAAGGTAGAGGGGAGATATTGACTATAAGTGAGACATAACAGAACTTTTTGGAATGATAGAAATATTCTCTATTTTGATTGTGGTGGTGGTGATATGATTGCATACATTTGTTAATATACATAAAGTACACACACAAAGGGTCAATTTGATGGTGAGTAAATTACATCTCAAGAAAAGAGAGTAAGAGAGAAAGAGAGAATGTGCAGATAAATATAAAATTAAAGTTAAAAGGGTATTCATATTTAAAATTAACTTCTTTCCTGAGCTTCTTAATATAGAAAAAAAAGAGGGAGATTGAAACTTCACCAAAATTACTTTCTCTGAAGAATCTCTGAATTGTATAACTCCCATAATACTGAAAAGTTAAGAAACTTACATTTTTACAGAATTAAAAATACAATGAATTTATGATGTATAAAATATGTAGGCATGATTTAAAAAGAAAACATGGAATATCCTTTTAATCTTAAAAGAATCCAGTTCTGGCTATATTTTTTTCTCAGTCTTTTTATGTAATTCAAATAGGTTTGATTTTTATACCTGTTCTAATTTTAAGTTACTTTGAAATCACACACAGCAAGATACTTTGAAATGCCTTATAATAATTAAGACAAAAATCCTAAACATATAAAAATAACACAATTTATTTATTAAATAGTAAGTGTATTGAGCACTTACTATATGTGTAAGACAATGTTAGTCACAATTGCAAGGACTTATGAAGATAAGCAAGCTGATCACTGAATTAAGGGAAGAAATAATTGCTCATAAGACAGGTGTTTTAAGCAAGGCTGAGCTCACGGACAACATACGAAAATGCTGGGGTTGGTTGAAAGTCTGGCTGCAAAGGAATAAATACTACTAAGGCAGAAGAAGCACAAAATATAAATGACAGGAAGTTTGTAAAGAAGAATAGTAGATTGAGGAGGAAGTGGGATCAAGAAAATTTTTGTTTAGGATAGGAGCTAATGAAGATGGAACATCAAAAAGTCACTAAGAAAACATCAGCTACTGCATTGAGAATAATATTCTGATGGGGAGGTTCACCTTGCCAAGGCACTGGGGTACTTCTTTCTCAGAGACAAAAGCAAAAAATAAGATATAATAATATTAAGAATGAGAGGAAGCAGGTGTTGACATATGATATAAGAAGAAGAAGCTGTGCCCCTAGGAAATTCAGGGCTGGATAGCTTTAGAAGCACTAAACACTAAATTGATATGGTGTCCCACCCATACGTCCCTACCTAAATCAAAATTTTAGAAAAATATTAAAACACAAATTATTTCTAGTGAAGTTCAACAAAGTTCTGATATTTCACATGATGAATATTTCTGGTACTTTATGTTTGAAATATCAAATTATTTCAAAAGAAATGATGTTTAGTGGTTAGTGCCTGTGCTTTGCTGGTACCTCAATTCATGCCTAGACTCTCTGTTGAGTTTCCAGCAATAGAATTTGGGTGGTTGTTTAGACCATGTGCCAAGGATGGCATCACCTGAGAGAGTGAGTGAGTGGACAAAGTGATGAGTCTAGTGTTCAATTTATTTAGTCATTTGATTGGTCACTCAGAGATAGATCAAACTAACCAAACTCACAAGGTTCCGTTACACAAATGAAAAAGCAAATACAATAATAAAGAGAAATGTCACAAGCAACCAAGATATGCTCATTTTAAACACACCTTCTCCCTGTGCTATTTGATTTGTAACAGGGATATCCTTTTCCAGTGCTTAATATGTTTGTGTCGGCATTTTTGCCTTCACCAGAGAATCTGATAAACCAGGCAAATGACTGGAAATGTACAAAGTAAACATAGAATCCAGGCATTCATTTCTTCACTAACCATTCACATAACGGGAACTATACTAGGCACCAAGAATGCACTGAAAAATGAAAGCAAATGATCAACCTCATGCATCTTACCACCTAGAAGAGGAAATAAGCACTAAAATCATAATTATAAAATTGGGTTCTATGAAAGAATATTAATAGAGGAATTTACTTAGTTGGTGGGACCAGTGGAGGCCTCTCTGAGAAAAGCACATTTTAACTGACATTTTGCTATATAGTCTTTAAGTATATTCTACCCAGCTCATATGCTACTTATAAGAAACAGATATGTTTAATAACTGTAAGTTTGTATCCTACAGGTTGAATGTACAGCTGGTATAAAAATGGTGCTTTGTCGTCATGAAGAAGGTGTATTCTGGGATCAAACCACCTGGCTGGAGATGCTTACTAACCTCAGTTTCTTCATCTGGTAAGATGAACATATTACATACCTTGCAAGTTATTGTCAAGATGAATTGTGAGAAGAAATTAGTATAGTGCCTGGCTAAATGGTAAATGTTTGATATGGATGATTGCTATTGTTATTATTATGGTTAACATCGAGTTTCTCCTCTGAAAGTGCTGAATAAATCTTGCCAATTTTTGTTCTCAGGAAGGTGCCCTTTTTGTAATGAAAACTGGGACAATTCCTTGTTGTTGACACATTTTCTTTCTTGAATAATGTTACTATCAGATCAAATTATAGACTTTGGCTTCGGAGCATTTTATATTTTATATTTATTCTGACTTCTTCAGAAATCTGACCTGTACATTATAATTTTGCTAGTTTAATTGCATTGAGAAGAATAGGCATTATATTAGAGCTTAACAGCATTGATTCTGGACCCAGCCACTTGGGTGGGAATTCCAGCTCTACCACTTGTTACGTGAGTGGCCTTGAATAAAAAACTATCTGTGGCTCAATTTCATTATATATATATAATATATACAAAATTTTGTATATATATATATATATTATATACAAAAATAATAGTACTTACCTCATGGTTTTGTTATAAGAAATAAATTAGGTAATTATATAGAGCACCTGAAACCTTATCTGGCTCTTAAATACTGTTATGTATGGTAGCTATTATTATGTTTTTATGTTTTCATTCAATCCTTCTAACAACTGTCTGCATTAAGTAGGAATCTTTAATGAAATATAAAGTCCATGTAGACAGTTACACTTAGTTCTTGTTAATTAATCTATCACCAGTACTTACAACAGTATGTATTTAAAATATATATCTTTGTTCATTGGATGAATGAATGAATAATGAATGAGTCTGCATGTTGCAGATAAGGAAATTACAGCTGAAAGGGATTTGATGATTTGTGCAAAATATAACTAGCATGTAACAGGGTCAAGATTTGGACCTAAGTCTGTTTGACTATAAAATACGTATGTTTAATGACACAAATTTGTGGTGGAAACACTTGGTTAAGTCTTGATCTTTTTGTAGTACTGCTAAGTTCTGGAAGAGGAAAAGGCAGATAATGGAAATTACCATTGCTAGGAACTAATATGGTAAGGCAGATGAATGAAAGGGGTCCAAATGTGGTTTGTGGAGCACCTGCATCCTACTCCAAAGGATATTCCAAATCAGCATCTATTAGGATAGGGTTCTGGAATCTGTGTTCCTAGTAAATACCCTTGCAATTCTATGTTCACTAATGTTTGAGAAGTCCTGGGGGACATGTTCTGAGTACACTGAAATAGTGGGCATTCAAAAGCAATTGCAACAGAAGCAAAAATTGACAAATGGTGTCTAGTTAACCTAAAAAGCTTCTGCACAGCAAAAGAAACTATCAACAGAGTAAACAGACAACCCACAGAATGGGAGAAAATTCTGGCAAACTATGCATCTGACAGAGGTCAAATATTCAGCATCTATAAGGAACTTAAACATATTTACAAGAAAAAAACAAGTAACTCCATTAAAAAGTGGGCAAAGGACATGAACAGACACCTCTCAATAGAAGACATATATGCAGCCAAAAATCATATTAAAAAAAAATCTCACTATCACTAATCACTAGAGAAATGTAAATGGAAACCACAATAAAGAGGGCTGGGTCCTGTGGCTCACGCCTGTAATCCCAGCACTTCGGGAGGCCAAGGTGGGCAGATCACTTGAGGCCAGGGGTTTGAGACCAGCCTGGCCAACATGGTGAAACCCCGCCTCTACTAAAAATATAAAAATTAGCTGGTCATAGTGGCACACACCTGTAATCCCAACTACTCGGGAGGCTGAGGCAGGAGAATGGTGTGAATCCGGGAGGCAGAGCTTGCAGTGAGCCAAGATTGCACCACTGCACTCCAGCCTGAGCAACAGAGTGAGACTCCGTCTCAAAAAAAAAAAAAAAAAAAAAGGGTCAAAAAATAACAGATTCTGGCAAGGTACTAGAGAAAAGGAATGCTTATACAGTGTTGGTGGGGGTGAAAATTAGTTCAACCACTGTGGAAGACAGCGTGGCATTTCCTCAAAGACCTAAAGACAGAAATACTGTTGGACCCAGCCATCTTGTTACTGGGTGTATACCCAAAGGAATGTAAATTGTTCTATTATAAAGACACATGCACATGTATGGTCATTGCAGCACTATATACAATAGCCAAGACATGGAATCAATCGAATACCCAGCAGTGATAGACTGGATAAAGAAAATGTGGTACATTTATACCATGGAATACTATGAAGCCATAAAAAGGAATGAGATCATGTCCTTTGCGGGGACATGGGTGGAGCTGGAGGCCATTATCCTCAGCAGACTAGTGCAGGAACAGAAAACCAAATACCACATGTTCTCACTTATAAGTGGGAGCTAAATGATAAGAACACATGGACACATACAGGGGGAAAACACACACTGAGGCCTATTGGAGGGTGGAGAGTGGGAGGAGGGAGAAGATCAGGAAAAATAACCAATGGTTACTAGGCTTAATACCTGGGTGATAAAATAATCTGCATAAGAAACCCCTATGATACATGTTCACTTATGTGACAAACCTGCACATGTACCCTTGAACTTAAAAGTTTTTTAAAAAACATAAAAAAAGAAATGGTGGGCAATGATGTCAGCAAGTGAAAGGCAAGAAAAGTCAGAATGGAACTGAAAGTGCGGTGTCTAATTCTAAGTTTGCAATGGCAGTTACAGGTATCATAATTGCCACCAAACAGCTCTAACATACTCAGTCTTATCTAAACACAAATAGCAGTGTCAAAACTCTAGTCTATACCTCACAATGTCATAAGTATAGGTCACATATATATAACTAGCAAGTAAATCATTTTAATACTTAGTTCACAATTATCATTGATTATAAATAATAAGAAATTTAACCTGTCTTTAAAGTCATCTTTCATTATAGTACTATTTTTAAGCAAGAAGTTTAAGTTTAATATACTTATTATTTCACAAACACATTTATTTTAGATTTGTATAATTTTTTAAATACTCCCATTTTTTAAATGTTGCCAAGAAATAAGCATTGAATTTAGCATTAGGGTACCCACAATCTTTTACACATGACATTAATTTAGTCCTACTCTTAAGGCTAAAGGGGAAATGTATTTTCAGTTAAGAATTCAATTCACTTGTGCATGATTAGATGGATATTTTGGATGTCATCTTTAGAAACTAAACATTCTTTAACACTGCTTCATAAACACTCAACTGGTCTATTAGCTGCTAAATCTGTTTGCATAAAATCAATCTTCAGATATGTCACTGATGTTAAAGAATTCTTTAAGATAATTGTCACTCTCTTACAAATGGAATGATTCTAAAATTGGTTTTAAAATGCATAATCGGCCCATTTTATGTAACCTAGGTATTTGCCTACCCTTTCTACTATTTAGTGTCATGTTGGTAAATATTCAATTGTATTCTGTTTTTAAACTTCTCTTCTTGGCCTTTTGATGTTTTATTCTATACAATCTATCTTTTACTTCTTCTCCTTTCCAGGGAGCTTCTGACTATTTTGCTTCTCACTCAAAAATTTAATGAAGCTGCTGTCTTGTAAATTATTATCAATTCCATTTTCCTTGGGTCCCTATTTTTTAATATAGTTGCCCATTCTGGTAACTCTGTCCTAATTTTATTTCCAGAAACATGCAACTGGTAGAGTTTTCAAAAACATTTTCTTTGTCTACTTTCGTTTTAAAATTTTTTAATTTATGCAGCACACTTTAAAAGATAGAAAATAATATAATGTGTATCTATATGTATGTGTGTGTATATATATATATACACTAAAATGGATGTTAACATTTTGTCTTTACTTTAGACCTTACCTTTCTAAAAGAATAAGAAGAAGATGATACATATTCCTCTAAAGTCCCAACAGGAACCTTTTCCCCTCACTCCCTCCCCAGAGATGTGTATCATTTCCATGAGTGTCTGTACTTTTACAACATGTGCATATTAATAAACAAAATATGACAAATTATTTTGTCTTAATATTTGCATAAATCTAGCCATACTCTACACCACTTTTGCAACTTTCACTATTATATATTTTGAAGATTATCCGTGTTTATGCACATAAGTTTATCATTTTAACTGTTGAATAGTGTTTCATTATATGAATTAACCATAATTCATCTATTTCCCTGAGTGACAATTAGGTTTCTTTTTGTTTTTATGCTCTGATGAACAATCTTGCAATTATTATCTTTGTATATGTCTTCATGTATAAGAAATTCTCCAGGGTAGACACTTAGAAGTAAAGGGTCTGACTCAGAGAGTCTGTGTATTTTAAAATGTATTGGTTATTGTCAAATTGTTCCTCAAAGTAGATGTACCAATTTACATTCCTACAGTGGTATATAACAGTTTTTTTTTCTCCACATCCTCTTCAACACTCGTCATTACCAGCTGGACTGATGTTTGCCTGTGTGATAGGTAGGTGGCAACACCTCCTTCTTTTGATTTGTATTTTTCTAATTAACAGTAAGATTGAGCATCTTGGCCGGGCACGGCGGCTCACACCTGTAATTCCAGCACTTTGGGAGGCTGAGGCAGGAGGATTGCTTGAGCTCAGGGGTTTGAGGCTGCAGTGAGTTCTGATTGTGCCACTGCACTCCAGCCTGATTGACAAAACAAGACCCTGCCAAAAGAAAGAAAGAGGCAGGGAGGGAGGGAGAGAGAGAGAGAAAAGATTGAGCATCTTTTCTTATGTTTATTAGCCATTGGTTTTTATCTCTTCTCACTGGCACATTCATGGTCTTTGCCCATTTTCTTTCTAATGGATTGTCTTTTTCTTATTAATGTGGAAAAACTCTAAACCCACATTAATCCTTTGTCACTTATGTAGATGGAAAATATATTCTCATACTTTGTAACTTGTTTTTCCTATTTGTCAAGCAAAAATTTATTTTAAATGTCATTTTTAAGTGTTCTGTATGTGTTAGAAAAGAATGTCTATCACCCAATTATTGGAAAAAAGTGTTATTTTGGTATCAGTAAATTAATCTTGTTAATTTTGTTATACAAATTTCCAGAATTATTGATTTTCTTAATCTGATTGATCTATTAATTACTGACTGAGGTGCTTAAAAATTTCCCAGAATGAAGATGGGCTTCTAAATTTCTTCTTGTACTTATCATAATATATTTTATCTATGCTCAATTCATGTTTAGTTTCATTACACCTTTCTGGTGAATTGAACCTTTTATCAGTTTGTATTAATCTCCTACATCTTTGGTAATGCTTTTTAACTTTCATATCTATTTTGTCTCATTTTACATATTTATACTAGCTTTGTTTATCTCTTCAATTTCTTGCTATCTTTGTTGTCTCTATGTATTCCTTCTGAACTTCTCATTAAACTGGAATTAGGTTTTCTCGTTCTACCTCCTACATGTTTTAAGAGCTCTTTCATATTTTTTTTTACTTTCTCTGTCTGTGGTTCATAAGGAAATTTTCAAATGAATCTTTATGTTTACTATTTTTCTCTTTACTTGTATTCTAACTGAACTCCAACTCCAATTATAACATTTCCTTTTTCTAGAAATTTTACTTGGCACATTTACAAATCTGTCTGTTACACTTTGATGTACATCCTATGTAATCATAGTTTTTATTCCCACTTTTATTTCTTTTTACTCATTAAATATTTTCACTCTTGTTAACATACTGCTTTGGGAGTTTGATTATTTCAGATGTGAGTTTATATTCCTTATAACTTTATATGCACAAATCTTGTGTCAGTCAAAATGAAATGCATTTCTTTAGAGAAAATTTGCACCTGCTTCTGCTAAAAACAATACATCCCAGGGTCACTTGAAAACAAATGGGATGATAGGTGTTTTTTCACCGACATCAATGGCATGTATTCCAGCCTCAAATTCACCCAAGGGACAACTTCCAGTGGTAATTCTCAGAGACCATTTTTTCCTCTGCTTCACCCAGAGTGAAAGCCAAGACATAAGTTTTCTTACACTCTTCCTTTGTGAACTGGTTTTTACTTGTTGAATTTGTGTTTTTTTACTTACTTATATGTTTGATTTCTAGGCCACACATGAAGGATGTTTCTTCTGGGCATCCTGATTTCATGCAGATATCTTTGTCCATTCTTTTCACATTGACTGGACTCCAGGGTTTGTCTCCTTGCTCTTGTGAGGAACTGAGTGCACTAAAGTTGCACTTAATAGAATAACAATTTGGGGGGAAAGATCTTGAGTTCAAACTTAGACATATTACATGTCAGTGTTTATAAGACAACCAAAGAGGAACAAGTAGGTGCTTCAATGTGCAGCTGAGCAAGAGGTAAGCATGAAAATAGTATGTGAAGCCTTGGCTGTGCATGATACTCATTATAAGTGTTTAAAGTTAAAAAAGAAGACTTAGGAGAGAGGCCAAGTCTCCTACACCAAAAGCCAAGTGAAAAGACTTCTACAAACATAAAATCCTTTGTATATTCCACACAGGATTTTATAACCACTTGAACCAATACTTAAAAGTAAAGGGCTTTCATATAAAAAATATGAAACTTCTGCTTCTATTGAAAAAGCAAAGTTTAGGCATCAAAGGGTTCACATTCAAAGCAGACATGAGCTAGAATTGAGTGAGCCCATCTGCTTTGGACAAGCCATGTGTTCTCTCACCTAGACTGGATCCCTCATCTACATTACCTGTCTTGCATCTGTATATTTCAGCTTGACCAAAGGTAATTATGGCTATTTCATGTTATTTTTGAAGAGGACATAGACTTTAATGACAGTGGAATAGGAAAAATAACAGACAAACAAAAACCACCTTAATGGGATATTGATGGATTGTCCCAAGACTAGAAGCAGAGATGGGGTTTTATTTCTGATAGGGGTGAGAATTTTAGAAGGTGGGGTTTCCACCCATTTACATACAAGGACCCTCATGGCGGAATGACTTCAGAGTGATTTTCCACAGCTTGTGTGAACTCTGAAAAAGATGCCTGATATTGGTCCAGAGGAAATAAAGCATTCAGACTTATAAACAGAAAATACAGACCAGGCCAAGTAACACTAAGGATATAAATCTTTAAGGTGCCTGTTTGTGCCAAGGGAGAAGAGAGTTCCACCCATGAGTTAGGAATTGCATTGGGCCCACTCATATCACATATTCCCCAAAGAGAGATTTAAACAAATTTATGGTTCAAGGGTTTTGAGGGGAAAAAACAAGACAAAACAAAAGACTATCACTTGCGAAACCTTCAGAGGGCGAAAGAACATCAAAAGAAAATTAGGTTATGGGAGAACATCAGCATGAAGCAAACGTTCAGGGAAGAGTATAAGTACTTAGAACATTTTGCTGATGAAGAACTATGGATTTGAAATAAGCACAATGGAAATATTTCAGGAGATGGGAACAGGTGAAACGGGGCAAGAAATGGGTTCACATAGAACCTTCTAGGAATCAAAATGAGAAAGCTATGGAATGATCTGGGAGTTTATTAATGCTTGTGGCACTATAGATGGGAATAAAAGGCGTAATGAGATTTGTCATAGCAAACTCAAGACCATGATTGTTGGAGAGGAATGGTGATGGGAAACTGGGTTGTCCTCTTATCCATATAATGGAGTTGAGGATGCCTGGGGAGCAAATCATTTCTCTGAATGGGATCCTGTCAGACAATAGTGAATGTAAGAAGCACAGTTTAATTTCAATGCCTTGAGCTTGCTCATTGATCTGTTAGGAGCGGGACAGTCTTACCAAGCAAGCAAGAGGGCAGAGGTGATTAGGACTATTGAAATATAAAAATTCAATAAACAAAACAAAAAAAGGTATTTATTAATATGATTTAGAATTTTTTTCCTTAAATTTTGAATCTTTACATGGTTAGATAATACCATATATCAGAATATTTTATGAAGATCAATTAACATCAAGACATTTCCTGGTTTTTTAAACCAAGATTATAAACAAATTTTTCAGGCATTGAGGCAGCAAAAAGACACATTCCTACAACAGAGAAAAATTTAGACTGACCTCAGCCTTCTCGAAAGCAAATTTAATGGCAGAATAAAATTAAGCTATTGCCACAGAATTCCTGAAGTAAAAAATTGGTGACTCAAAGATTATATCCAGGTAGATTGTCGTTAATTATAAAGGCAACAGGCAGGTATTCTTAAGCTTTGAAAAACTTAGGAAATGCAGCATCCATGATTTTTTCTTTGAAAATGCTATTCAACAGTAAATTTCAACAACTTAAGAAATAATGTAAATAATGGAACTTAATTAAATGAAAAAGCTTCTGCACAGCAAAAGAAATAATCAACAGAGTAACAGACAACTGACAGAATGGCAGAAAATATTTGCAAACTATGCTTCTGACAAAGAACTAATATCCAGAATCTCCAAGGAATTCATACAACTCAACAAGAAGAAAACAAACAACTCCATTAAAAAGTGGGCAAAAGGCATGAACAGGCATTTCTCAAAAGAAGACATACATGCAGCCAACAATCATATGAAAATGTACTCAACACCACTAATCATCAGAGAAATGCAAATCAAAACCACAATGAGATACCATCTCACAGCAGTCAGAATGGCTACTATTAAAAGTAAAAAAAAAAAAAAAATTGTTGGAGACGATGCAGGGAAAAGAGAATATTTATATGCTCCTGGTGGGAATGCAAATAAATACAACCTCTATGAAAAAACAGTAAGGAGATTTCTTAAAGAGCTAAAAAAAAAAAACTACAATTCAATCCAACAATCCTACTACTAAGTATCTACTCAAAGGAAAAGAAATTGTCATATCAAACAGATACCTGCACTCATATTTATTGCATAACTATTCACAATAGTAAAGTTATAGAATCAACCTAAGTGTCCATTAATGGATGATTGGATAAAGGAAATGTTATATATATATATATATATTACATAGCCATAAAAAGGTGAAATCATGTCTTTTACCACAACATGGATAGAGCTTGAGGCCATTATCGTAGGTGAAATAACTCAGAAACAAAAAAATCAAATACCACATATTCTCATTAATAAGTGGGAACTAAACAATGGGTACCCACAGACATAGAGGGATAATAGACATTGGACACTCCATAAGGGAGGAGGGTAGGAGACTCCATAAGGGAGGAGGGCGGGAGACTGGTGATGGTTGAAAAATTCCTATTGGTACAATGTTCACAATTCAGGTGAGGGGTACACTATCAGCCCAGACTTTACCACTATGCAATATATCAATGTACAAAAATTGCACTGTACCCCCTAAATCTATACAAATAACAAAAATTTTAAAAAGAAAAAAAGTTTAAAATGCCATAAGAAAGAAATAATCTAAATAAAAACTTCAGGAATGGAGGAGCTGACTTTGAAACCTGCTTAAACAGACTATAAAGACTATTTTTTTTATATTTAGTTTTTGGAACTGCTTTGAGAGAATAGATATATACTATTTTAATTTTTTTATATAAAATCCTTCTTACCAAGAGAAAAAAGAACAAGACTTGATCAGGCTGAAATATTTGATGAAGAACATTTTAAAATAAGTATAAATTTAAGAAACATCATGGAAAAAAACTTGCAAGTGTACTCTTTTTTTTCTTTAAAAGAACACAAAATCAGCAACAGTGAAATTCTGGGAAGACCCTGGAACCAGATAAAACAATCTTATTAAACATTGAATCATGGTTAAAAAGCAGTTACCCAGCAACCAAAGACCTCATCATTTCCTCCTAATCTTTCACAGTGAATTTTTTAACAACCTCATAAAACTAGGACAGACTGAAACATCATGGAAAGAGGTGGGAAATAAAGAAGGCTCCAGGAAGGGAAAACTGAGTATTATTTCACTGAAAATTTCATCCAGATCCTTGCACAAGGTCAATCAATTCAGGCTACAAACACATGACATATTCTTATACTTCAATCATCTTAATAGCAGGCAATAGGAGACAAACAAATGACACACAAGCTTTAAAGTCTACAATTAACAACAGAGGATCACGAAATGCTGGGACAGGATTTCTGAGACTCCATTCTCTTCATTTAACAGATGAGCAAACCGATCCAGGAAGGAGAAGTGGCAGGCCTACAGCCCGCTATCTATGAAGTAGGCACCTGGGTCTCACTCCTGGGTCACTGTTCTTTCTAGCAACCATTCTGTCTCATATGGGATACCGGTGTTTTCAAATAGCAACAAATGTCATTAAGTAGTTACTAACTATTCAAATTTGGCTATTGATATCAGTAACTCTGCTTTTCCTAAGAGATACAAAAATTTAATAACATTCCAGCGAAAGGCAGCTTCCGCTTTAAAGTAGTTCTAGACTATGTTTATTACTGAAGCTTTATAAGTCACTTTTTATTGATGACCACAAACATGTTGTCCACTGCTTTCAGGTCAATTTGACAATAATTCCTCAGTGTAAATACCCTGGCAATCAAAATTGGAAGCACATGTGACTTGTCTTCAGTGTGAATACCTGTATAGGAAATCAAACATAGTTAAGTAAGGGGATGTAGAGCTCCACCAATTTCTAGGATTGCCATGCCCATCAAAATATTGTCCCACCAACAAAATCACTGTGTGTATAAAATACCACCAAGTAACTATCTTGGTTAGTTTGGGCTGCCATAATGAAATGCCATAGACTAGGTGAGTTAAACAACAAATATTTATTTCTCACAGCTCTGAAGTCTAGAAGTCTGAGATCAGGGTACCATCATGGTCAGTTTCTTGGTGAGGGGCATCTTCCTGGTTATGCCCTTACATGGCCTTCCTTGGTGCATGCACTAAGAGAGAGATCTCAAGTCTCTTCTTTTGTTCATAGAGGTATTAATCCCATTGTGGAGACCCCATCCTCATGAACTCATCTAAACCTAATTACTTCCCAAAGGCCCCACCTCCTAAAACCATCAGACTTCCCAAAGGCCCCACCTCCTAATACCATCAGATTGAGGATTAATACCATGTGGATTTGGGGGAAGGGGGACACAAATATTTAGTCCATAGAAGTAACCTACTTATCTTATAATTTATTTTAAAAATCCTTAGGATTAAATTGACATGAATAATTTTTATGAACACTAGAATAATCTCTCCATTTTCAATTAATTAAACTTGCTAGGAGATCCTCCTGAGTAAAAAGTGGTTTGGTATATAGAAAAGAAGAAAAAAATGTTCTAAGCATGGGATATGATTTAAGAGAAATCTTGAAGTTGGAAGAGGGCAGGACAAAATATCATTACTCTATACCTGGGATTGTGCTAAATGCTTTTTATGGATTATTTAATTGTAATTAAAACCCCTATAAAATAGATTCTTTTATTACCACTATTTTACAGTGAGGAAATTTAAGATTGGAAAATTTGAATCACACGCCTAAGGTAAATCTAACAATTAGCAGAGCAAGGACTTATAGCCAAACCTTTGGATTCCAGAATAAGGCTTTTAAACACCACACTCTACAGCGTCTCTCAGATTACCATGATGAAAAAAATTTCATCTTGAGACTTTGTAATAAGGTTTTTGAAAAGATTAGCTTCATATATGTTTTAACTCAGTATTCAACATGCTGGGTTTACATTTCAAAAAATTTTAATGAACAATAAATACATTTATAAAGTTAATAATTCAATTCATCATGATTTCCTGAAGACTTTTTTTTTTTATTTCCTGAAGACTTTTAAAGATGCTATTGAATCTTTAACAATTAAGTGAGTACCAAGGGAAGAGAACATATGTTTCTTTTAGCTCTCATTTATTAATATGGCCCATTTAGGACCTGACATAGTATAAAGTTCAGCTTACATATACCTATCAGTTAATAAAAATCTGCAATGGGAAAACTATTTAACTATTTAACTAAATCAAGAGCATAGAATTATCTTAGACAGATAACAGAATTTAATGTAAATCCCGAATTTCTGTGTGTTATCTTGAATTTCATTTTGAATTGAAGAAAGCTTAAATGTGAAAAAATAAGAATGCCGTTTTTTAAATCTTTTATGAAAATATTCAATCTGCAAATACAATTTTGCCATATTCTACCTATGTACATAAATAACAATCAGGAGCACTGAAAAACAAAAAAGTATACACCAATCATTTTGAGAAGTACAGAGCAAAAGAGAAATCAGCTACCAAGTCATGAAAAGACATGGAGGAACCTTAAATGCTTATTACTGAGTGAAATAAACCAGTCTGAAAAGGCTACGATTACTGTATGGTTTTAAATATATGACATTATGGATAAAGCAAAACTATGGATCCAGTAAAAAGATCAGTGGTTGCCAGTGGATGGGAGAGAGATGGATGAATAGACAGGAATAAGGATTTTTAGGATAATAAAACTATTTATATAATATTATAATGATGTACACATGATATATGTATCCAAACTCATGGAATGAACCCGCGAGTGAACCCCAGTGTAAACTATGGACTTTGGAAGATAATGATATGCTAATGTAAGTTTATGAATTGTAAAAAATACAACATCTGGTGAGAGATGTTAATGGGAGAAACTATGTATGTGTGGAGGCAGGGAGTATATGAAAAAGTCTCTGTGCCTTCTGCTCAATATTGCTGTAAACCTAAAACTGCGCTAAAAATAAAGTTTATTTTAATGCGTTGGAAACTTTATTTTTTTAGAAATAAATTAAAGGTGAGAATCGTATAACACAATTTTTAGTATATATGAGCCAATTATGTTCAGTTTCTCAGAAAGAAAGCCTCGACAAGTAGTCATTCAAAAACATAATATTGTACACATCTTTCTTTTTTCTGCCTATATTGTAGCACCTCATAACAATCCCCCTGACAAACTAAAAAATTAAAAAATCTCAATTGTCTTGTCTTAGAGCAGCCACAACCTTAAAAAGGTGGCAAATTGAGCTTATTTTCTATTCACACCTAAAATGTTTTCACTGATATCTGGAATACACTCCTCATTCGCTGAAAATCTTAGCTCCTAGCTTACTGCACCTCTCCCGGGTATTACTTCCATTTAATTTTTGGTAACTGCTATGGTTTGGATATCTGAACCTTCCAAATCTCATGTTGAAATTTGATGCACTGTGTTGGAGATGGGGCCTAGTGGGAGGTGTTCGAATCATGGGAGCAGATCCCTCATGAATGTTTTGGTGCTGTTCTCACAATAGTGAGTTCTTGCTCTGTTAGTTTCCAGGAGATGTGACTGGTAAAAGGAGTGGGGCACTTCCCTCCTCTATCTCTTCCTTCCTCTTTTGCCACATGATGTCTGTTCTCCTAGAACTTCCACCATGAGTGGAAGCAGCTTGAAACCTTCACCAGAAGCAGATGCTGGCACTAGGTTTCCTGTACAGCCAACAGAAGTGTGAGCCAAATAAACCTCTTTTCTTTATAAATTACTCTGGCTCAGATACTCCTTTGCAGTAACACAAATAGACTAGGACAATGGCTTTCACATAGAGCTGTTCCTCAATATGCAAGAAGGATTGGTTCCAGGATCTTCCTGGAATACCAAAATCTGCAGATACTCAAGTCCCTTATATAAAATGACATGGTATTTGCAGATAGCCTATGAACATCCTTCAATATAATTTAAATCATCTTTAGATTACTGCAAGATAAAGCCTGTATAAATAGTTGTTATACCACACTGTCTAGAAAATAATTACAAGAAAAATTCTCTACATGTTTAGCACTGATGCATTCTTTTCTGAATATTTCCTATCTGTGGTTGGTTGAATCCACAGGTGCAAGACCCATGGGTATGGAGGGCTGACGGTGAACCTAGATGATTCAACTGAAAGCCTAGTCTCTCAGTTCCCTGACTGCCTCACTTCCAGTGATCCTTCATGGTTGTATACCTGCCCTTGTCTTTACCAATTACTGAAAATTCTCCAGAATCTCATTTTCAAGTGTCTTACTGTCCAACTCCAACTTTCTACCCGTCCAGGGTACTCCATCTAGTACTGTAACTTCACTGATCCTTCTGCACCATTGGTGCCTAAAATCTGATACTATCACTTGTCCATTAAATTTTATGATTAATAATTATCATCTCTTCTTTGCATTTGTCTCAACTTCCTTCTCTATCTTTGGAAGATTTTTACATATTGGGCAAAATCCCACCTAGGGATACATTATTCAGTTGTTGTTCCCAGTGCTCATGCAATGGAATATGGCTGGAGAAAAACACAAACCTCGGTGGCTGACGCCTGTAATCCCAGCACTTTGGGAGGCCGAGGCGGGTGGATCACGAGGTCAGGAGATTGAGACCATCGTGACTAACACGGTGAAACCCCACCTCTACTAAAAATACAAAAAAATAGCCGGGCGTGGTGGTGGGAGCCTGTAGTCCCAGCTACTAGGGAGGCTGAGGCAGGAGAAGGGCGTGAACCCGGGAGGCGGCGCTTGTAGTGAGCGGAGATCGCGCCACTGCACTCCAGTCTGGGCGACAGAGCGAGACTCTGTCTCAAAAAAAAAAAAAAAAAAGAAAAAAAAAGAAAAACACAAACTTGCTGAATACTGAAACATTAATGACTACAAATCCCAAGATGCCTCTTAAGCCAAGATGCCTGGTAACCATAATTTATTTCCCTACTCTATTCACATTTCTAGTTTCTAGATAACTATTTCAAACCTTCTCATATCAGTAATACTTTGTTTTCCATTCTTGCCCTCAACTCACAACTTATTTTCCTAATAAAACAGACGCATTCAGAAAGACAACTTCCACATGTTTCCACATCTAAAACTACCCATTTTCCAGCATCAGTACTCATATATCCTGCCTTCTTGCCTACTGTCCCTGGATAGAATAACAGATCACACTCCTATCTAAAGCTGGTTCTTCTGCTTGTGCTCTAGACCCCATCTGCTTTCTCAAATACGTCACATCACTCTATCTTTCCTCCTCTCTCCTCTCCTTTTCCCTTTCTCTCACTCCCACTCCTCTATCCTTTCCTGGGCCATTTCACTAACATGCAAGCATTCCCCATTTCTTTTCATTTTGTTATGATACCTTGTTCATAAATCTCATTAACAACATTTTTTCCATAGTTAGGTGTTTAGATAGCCACATATTTTGGAAGAAAGTATCTCTATTTCACTTATGTGGAGGTTTAAATGAACTGTTTGAAACTATAATGGAACAGGAGTTTTTGATATTTGAAAGTCTCTATCCCAAAAGGAGAAATTAATGAGGAACTGTATTTTATACAATTATGTCCTGGCCCTACCTTTTTATTACTACATCATGGCTGGAATGTAAGTTAAACAGTTGACTATTGCAAAAGCAAGGCAGTAGGAGAAATTGGGCAGTCTGCTGAAGTGTTCCCATATGTTTCCAAGAAGCAATGTTAACAGGGACAGCTCTTTTCTTCAAGTTAATAGGTACATCTCCTTTAATCTGAAGAGTATCATCAAGGAATGATTAGGATTCCAGCAACAAGGCAAGCAAGTTCCCTAAGATAACATCATAAGTTCATGCAGGCTAAGGGCAAACAATCAAAAATTGGTCAAGGATTTTCTTCTAATCATGCTTCCTTCAGTTAAGTTGTGATATTTGGAGGCAATTGGTCAAACAGATCATTTCCTGAAAAGTTATATCTATTTTTTGACAGAGCATTGATTGCTTTGCAACTCATATTAATTATGATGCCTTATGAACTCATTAACACCAATAGAGTTAATCTTTTATGGAAATGTTGAGAGAATCACCAAACAGCTCTGCTGAAACTCCAGAAATGCCTGAATTTCTTATGAGTTTCTTAATTATTTTGTGCTTTTTTATTATTTTTCCACATTTCTTTAAACGCAGGTTAAGTTTATCAGAAATGTGTGATCAACACGGAAATAAGAAGAGAACCATCTAAAGATGTGAACTGTTAGTAACATTAAGACATTGCCCCAAAACTATCTCTAAATATTTGCAGATTAACCTAGATCGAGTTGCTGTCTGAATACTATCACTTAAATAATTAATGAAAGCCCAATAATAACTCTCACATTTATAAAATGGCTTATGCCATTTCCTATTCAAAACTTTTGAAATAAATTTTATGTTGACTCGCTATTGCCATCAGGTTAAAGTCCAAACTCCTATATATAGTTTAAAATCATCTGGCCTTCATTTACTCCTCTCATTCTGTATCTTTCATTCTCCGACCCCAATTCCCCAAACCTAATGCTCCAAATAAATTGAACTCTTTTTTTATTCCCTAAAAATGCCATGTTCTCTCTCCTTTCTGAATCTTTGCATATTCTCCACTTGAAAAATGTTGCCAATTCATTTATCTAGCTATCTTTCAACTCACACGGGAGGTGTCCCCACCTCCCAGGAGTCTTCTCTGCTCCTCGAAGACTGTTGTATATATCCTTCCCACATTTATTCTAACATACTGCAGTTGCTAGATACCCTTCCCGCATTTTTCCTAATATACTATAATTCTCACCCGTAAAGTCCATATGCTCAGGGGTCTGTCATTCATCATTGTGGCCTTAATATCCAACACAACATTTTGTAGCAGATCTCAAAATATACAAACTATCACAAATGTCATTTGATTATGACAAATTTTTAAATTTTTATGCATCATATTTGTACATAAGGTACACGTGAAATTTTGTTATATGCACAGACTGTGTAATGATCAACTCAGAGTACTAGGGTGTCTATCAGCCAGGTAGTTATCATTTTGATGTGTTGGACACATTTCAGGTATGACAACATTTTTGTGAGTGAATGGAATAAATATTGTTTTCACCTCAGTTTACAAATGAAGAACCTGGGATTTGAGGAGGTGAAATAATTAGTCCAAGATAAGAAGATTAAAAAATGGTAACAGGAGTGGATTCTAGATCTTAGTATTATAAACCATACAATATTTTCATGTAAATGAAACTCAAATTTTAAGTTAACCATACTGTCCAGACATGAACTTTGAAAATATGAGTGGCAGATGTAAAAGTATGTATCAATTTCTGAAAGTTTATTGGTGATCCTCAAACATAAACTCTTATTCAGTGACATATATGTTTTAGCAAAGAAATTTGAATGAGATTGAAGCAACCCCAAACTGAAAAACCTCTTCATTCTAGAAAAGCTAATCCAATTGCTTCTCCTGAGTAGGTAAAACTTAGTATTGTGTCTATGAATCTGGTCTCTAAAGAGATTGAAAGTTCGAATATGAGAACTCTTAGACTGTGCCTTTCCTGGGCTATTAAAACCTCCTCTACTTTTGACATCAGATTTGAAGGAAAAGTATGTTGTTCTCTCTCAACCTTCCCTACCAAATATGCCTTCTGCCAAATTCTCCCATTTAATCAGCTAACCTCATTCTATTAAGAGAGGAGAAAGGGAAGTAAATGGTAAACAAATTAAAATATTACAAGCAACTTGCTTTCAAAGTCACAGAACTAGGTAAAACAAACAGGTTGAAAAGAGTTGACCACAACACTCTGTTCACACACTATTTCTTGATTTAAAATACAGTGATATTCATTAGCCAAAGACAGTGAAACGACTGGTTTCTGCTGAAAGTTGTGGGAGGATAGTAGATTTTTATCTCTTTTAAGCACTCTTTCTCCAACCTCGACCACTTTGCTGTGTAGATGAAATGTTCTGAATCAATATCGAAGATTCCAGGCGGCTCTGACATGAGCTGGAATGATAGCGAATCAGGTATGCAGAAGGAATGGAGCCTTCAGCTTCCATGTCAAATAATATGTTTTATGGATAACTCACCTGTTCCTGAGAAGCTGTGTAGGTATTCTAGGCATTGGATTTTGAATCCTGAAATTGAATGACTTATTAGGTCTTTATTACATAGCAGATGCTACAATGCTTCTCATGGCATTGTTTTCTTTTTATTTCATCAGTTTGGGTACATCAAATTGGGATGACTCAGGTGGCATGATTCCAATGACCCTTCTTGTAGGATCTGTTGGTGATCACAGGGAAGGAAGATCAGCAGGTACAGAAAGTTTTTTGAATTTGTGGCTGGGCTTTCTGGCCCCATAGACACCCACCATATAATAAAAGCCCTGATTTGGAATCCCAGCCTTTATTGCTTTCTTACATTAAAAAAAAACTGGTAGAATAGCAGGATAATCAATGTATAAAAATTACGTAATTTTTCACTTTCTTTAATAAATAAAAAAGTTCTCTACCTAAACGTGTTTTCAAAATTCTGCATGCCATATTGTCTTCTGAAATTCTCAAAAGTATTCGGTATGTTAAAAGTTCTATAAAAACTTTCAAAAAGGAAAGCTTTCTAATGTTGTGTAACCTAATCTTCTTCCTTTTACTCACTTAACACTACCTCTTATCATCCTGCGAGGACTTACTCAGGGGAGTGCTGACCCAGTCTAACCCTATTTTGGTATTTGCCTTTTACAGAACATTCTCATTCTCTCTTGCTGCTATTTCATTCTCCCCCAAAATGCAGAAGAGATGTCTATTTCCTCTTTCCTTGTGGTGGGACATGACGGCCTGTCTTACGATGGTGTTTTAGCTCTGGGTAGACAGAACAAAGAAAATGTCCCCAGACTGAAATGTATGCCTTTCTCAGACCCATTCCCCAAATCTTTATCCAGAATTGGTTTACAGATGGTAGTACCTATTGCTTGTATTTGTTTAATTGGTTTGGGGTTTTTTTGTTTGTTTCTTTTGCCCAGTAAGCTTTCTCATCTCCCTCCTCCTGGAAACAGAACCCGCTCTCCTCACCACAAAAACAGTTCTTGGCCCATCACGAGCCCTTCCTTTCTGGCAGCGTGATTGATTCAAGGGTGAGAACAGCACAAAACAAAGCCAATCAGGGTCCTTCTGTGAGATCAATATATGGACCCTGGGGAAGGGGACTGTCTTTCTTCAGGAGTGGTTAAAACTGGGAGGATGTGATCTCTGTGGTCAGCTGCTTCCCTAGCACAGGGAGAGCATCCAAGAAGCACAGCAGAAACAAGCAGTGAAGACAAGGAGAGTCTGGTCACGTTGGGTTCCGGGTTCTGATTCCTGAGATAAATGAGATCAAAACACTTTGATACTTTGAGAAACAGAAGTCTGTTTTCCAGCTCTGTGATCCATAAATAATTGCACTTATTGTCATTTAAATACAACGTATGATGAAGAGCACCCTTCTTTACCAGGATTAGATTAGCAGTGCACAACTTTGATTCAGAAACCTTGTGTACAGAATAAAACTTAAATATCAGTTACATCTTTGGTAAATTATTCCTATGCTATCCGTACTTTTATAATTAAAGAAGAATTTACTTTTCTAGGCTTCAAATCAGGCAAAAGTTTCTCATGATTTAAATAATTGTACAGTCTACTATTTGTATCTGGTAGTTTAAGGTAGTTGTTAAAATTTGTGGCTGTAATCAACCCACAAATAGCAAGGAATAAATATATTTCCTTGTAGAGACTTCAGCACTTTGGGTTTGGTGCATGTTGGCAAGGAGGGGACATGAGGAATAGAGTTCTTTACTCTGACTTTTTTACAATCTCTTTCATTAAACACCCTGTGCATGACATTAAAAAAAAAAGTGTCCCTTGCTCTCTGTGCCTTTCCTGTTTAGCAAAAGTCGTCCCCAAAGATGTTATCAACTGAACAGAATGTTTTGTGTCTGGAGCTTAAGTCAGTGAGTCAAACGTTGTTGCAATGAAAATCATGATGCCATGCTGACCCAAACTCCCTGAGCTCCACTCTGATAACATGTAAGAAGATAAGTGGCAGAATGCCACAATATGTGTGCTCATGGTCCTGAAGGATGTGCCCAGAGATGTGTTTAGTTCTTGGGTTCCTTCCCACATGGCACCTCCTGCTGCAATTTATTGACACCAGATGTTCTTTGTATCAGTAAGACTTGTAGCAATGTCTATTTAAAGTTAAATGGAGTAATTGAAGCCAGAGCATCATACTTTGAATGAAGTAAATCAAAGCACATCACAGTCATAAAAATGCAGACTAGGGAAAGCATGAATGAGAGAAATCCATTATTTTTTTTAAAAAGCCAGACTAATAGAGACCAAAAAATTCTGATTAAAATTTATCATCTCCCACAACACTGATAGAAATCAATTGGTAACTGGTCAGAGCTCTGACGCCACAATTAGTGAGCATGCCTCACTATATAAATTAGGCAGAAGTCTTTTGTCATAATGACCTCCTTCTCCACGACAGCTCATGGAAAACAATTCTGCATTTGGATCACTGTGGGGATCAGATGCAAAAACTCTGGCTAATGATAAGAGACATGGACCTGCAGTCTAATCATTTTACTAACATAATGCTTTAGACAGAAGTTTTAACAAGTCAAGGCTTAACTAATGATTGATGGTAGGAAATGGAGACATGTTTTAAAGTCTGATGTAAAAGAAAACTAAGACAGGAAGGACAGTGTGATTAGAATGGCTAAAAGCAGACCATGAGCATTAATAAATGTGAATTTTAATAGGTACAGGTCTGGCAGCCAGCAGACAGCAAGACCTTAGACTGACTGAAAAGAAACGAGAACTTTTAGTATTGCTCCTACTAAATTGAATAATCAGAGGCAATATAAATATACCAAATTATAACAGTAATTCAAAAGTACAGAAATCAAAGCTATGAAGATTAAAATTATAACATGTGAGCATGGCAGGATAATATTTTAAAGAAGTTGGCTGTTTTCCTTTTTAAATTTTTTGTTCCAGTAATTTCCCACTATCTCTTGCCTCATGCAGGCACAAACTTGGCTCTGTATTCATCACTTCAGTGAAAGGATATGTCAGAAAACAAAGCAGAAGCAGCCTAAAAGTCTCTGCCTTTTATGCTCCAAAAAACTTAAATTCCTTTGGAGAGATTTTAAGGATTTAGAATAAAATGTGTAGAAAAAAAAAAAAGAAAAAAAATGGTGTCTCATGCCCATTCCCATCCTGACTAGAAAAAGAACCCCCTGGGTGGAAAGGAAAATAGAAGAGATAGTAAGGAAGCAATGAAAAAGAGAAATTGTAGGGTCTTTGAGAGAGGGGCCCTGTGCTGTGATTCCAGAACAGGATTCTCGGAGTGTGGCTTAGGGAAGGCAGCAAATCATCAGTGACAGTAAAGAACATTTGTGTAATGGGTCCAGGCAGACGGAGTCCTGCACGGGCATGGAGAGTTTCTACTACCCAATTATGGTGTCAAAGATGTAGAATGATGTCCACGCCTGAAGCCTGGCTCTGCCATAGACCATAGATGCCAACAGCCTTGAAGAAGCCTTGAGGACAAGAACATGAGTGGTCTCAAGAAAGATCTGTATGGCTGAATAGCTAAGTACTGAGTAAGAAAGGTGGGTCTCTAGGATTCCCACTTGGATAGATGACTCATTGGCCAGATATGCCACAATGTCTCAGCACCACATAAGTCCTGGAATGTGGAAACAATCCCCTCACCAACATTTCTGCAGAAAGGTCTTGAAATGAAAATTACCTTGTGATATTGAAAAATAATTTGTTTGTACACTCAGGCTTGAGAACTCATTTATAAGTGTTTTAAAAGTATTTCAAATGAACTTGAAGGGAAACCTACCATACACAGAATGGAGAGAGGCATAAAAAATATTGGAGAAAAGGAAGAAATAGTTATTGTATGAAAAGAATATAACTACAGAAGTTAAGAGAAACATAGAAAATAAGTTGTTCCCTTCAGATAAAAAAAGAATTTCTGAAACAACATGCAAAAATTACAAACCATTAAGAAAGAGATGGCCAAATTTTTGTTCATTTAAACTCAAATTTAAAAAAACATATTTAAAGATAAGATGTAAGCTATTAATCAGGAGGCAATATTTATAAAATATATAGAATACAAAGATTAATTCCCAAAATATGCTAAAACACTCACACATACACATGCACAGTGAGGTATTATTTCACACACCCATGAGACTAGTTAAAATTATTAAGTCTGATAACATAAAGTTTAAAGGAGGACATGGGGAAAAGGAAACTCATGCTAGTGGAAGTTCAATTACATAGAACAATGTAGAGGACAATCTGCCAAAATCTAGTATAATTGAAAATTTTATATATATATTTCTTTTATGCAAGAAGTCCTGCTTTTCTTATTATAGTATTGTTTTTAATAGCAAAATATTGGAAATAAGCTAAATATCATCAATAGAGAAATGGGGTAAGGAAAATGTGGTAATTCTATGCAATAGTTATAGAGAAGAACTAGATTTCTATATCTCACAGTGGTTAGACTTATAAAACATGATTTTTCATTAAAAAAGCAAGTTGCAGAAAAATTGGTACAGTATAATACATTTATATGTATTTTAAAACACTGTGTTGGTCTTCACAATAAGGAACTAAAGGAACATTATCTGTGAGATTTTTACCTTAAAGAAACTTGACATTCAAATAGGCAGGGAGGAAGTCAAATTATCTTTGTTTGCAGATGACATGATCCTATATCTAGAAAACCCCATCGTCTCAGCCCAAAAGCTTCTTAAGCTGATAAGGAACTTCAGCAAAGTCTCAGGATACAAAATCAATGTAACAATGCAAAAATCACAAGCATTACTATACACCAATAATAGAGAAGCAGACAGCCAAATCAAGAATGAACTCCCATTCACAATTGCTACAAAGAGAAATACCTAGGAACACAGCTAAAAGAGAAGTGAAGGACCTCTTCAAGGAGAACTACAAACCACTGCTCAAGGAAATCAGGGAACACACAAACAAATGGAAAAACATTCCCTGTTCATGGATAGAAATAATCAATATTGTGAAAATGGCCATAATGCCTAAAGTAATTTATAGATTCAATGCTATTTCCATTAAACTACCATTGACATTTTAAAAACTATTTTAAAATTTATATGGAACTGAAAAGGAGCCCCTATAGCCAAGACAATCCTAAGCAAAAAGAACAAACCTGGAGGCATCATGCTACCTGACTTCAAACTATCCTACAAGGCTACAGTAACCAAAACAGCATGGTACTGGTACAAAAACAGACACATAGACCAAGGGAACAGAATAGAGAACTCAGAAATAAGATCACACATCTACAACCATCTGATCTTCGACAAACCTGACAAAAACAAGCAACAGGGAAAGGATTCCCTATTTAATAAATGGTGCTGGGAGAACTGGCTAGCCATATGCAGAAAATTGAAACTGGACCCCTTCATTACACTTTATACAAAAATTAACTCAAGGTAGATTAAAGACTTAAATGTAAAAACCAAAACTATAAAAACTCTAGAAGAAAATCTATGCAATTCCCTTCAGGACATAGGCATGGGCAAAGATTTCATGACAAAAACATCAAAAGCAATTGCAACAAAAGCAAAAATTGGCATGGGATCTAATTAAACTAAAGAACTTCTGCACAGCAAAAGAAACTATCATCAGAGTGAACACACATCCTACAGAACAGGAGAAAATTTTTGCAATCTATCCATCTGACATTTGTCTAATATCCAGAATCTACAAGAAATTTAAACAAATTTACATGAAAACAACAAACAATCCCATTAAAAAGTGGGTAAAGGACATGAACAGACACTTCTCAAAAGAAGACGTACATGCGACCAACAATCATATCAGAGAAAGTTCAACATCAGTAATCATTAGAGCAATGCACATCAAAACCATAATGAGATACCATCTCATGCCAGTCAAAATGGTGATTATTAAAACGTCAAGAAACAACAGATGTTAGTGAGGCTGCGGAGAAAAAGGAACACTTTTACACTGTTGGTGGGAATGTAAATTAGTTCAACTATTGTGGAAGACAGTGTGGGAATTCCTCAAAGATCTAGAACCAGAAATACCATTTGACCCAGCAATCCTATTACTGGGTATATGCCCAAAGGAGTGTAAATCATTCTATTATTAAAAAAAATAAAAATTACAAGAAGATACATGCAGGTATGTGTTCATTGCAGCACTATACACAATAGCAGAGACATGGAGTCAACCCAAATGCCCATCAATGATAGACTGGATAAAGAAAATGTGGTACATAAGCACCATGGAATACTATGCACCCATAAAAAGGAATGAGATCATGTCCTTTGCAAGGGACATGAATGGAGCTGGAAATCATTATTCTCAGCAAACTAATGCAGGAACAGAAAACCAAACACCACATGCTCTCACTTACAAGGGGGAGCTGAATAATGATAATACATGGACACAGGGAGAACAACACACATGAAGCAGCAAACTACTATGGCACATATTTACCTATGTAACAAACCTGCACATCCTGCACATGTAACCTTGAATGTAAAATTTCAAAAAAAGAAACTTGAAGAAAATATAATAAAACATTAATAAGGGTTAATTTTGGATAACAATTATTTTGTCTTTGTATTTTTTTTTTACATTTCATAGCAAAAGGAAATACAGGAAATAATAGAAATATGCTCTTTTCCATTCTGGAAAATGTTTAAGAGATAATGTTAAAATACAAGACCAAGTAATAACAGATATCAACTATCACCATTATTCACACAATTGTTACACTGGACCAACTTTTATACATTAAAATAAGACCTCTACTCTTAGGAGAGTAGAGGTAATTACAATTTATTAACTTCCTAGATCATTTTATTATCTTATTCTTTAAATACCTCAAAGCCCTGCTGGACTCCAAAATAAATACCACTTCAATTACCCTATTTAAATAAAAATATCTTTCTAGGTTTGAAGAAAAGTAACTCAAAGTAAGGACTTTTTTTCAACTTAGGAAAATATAAACTGCATTCCTTATATTCAGCATCAGATGTTGACTACTTACATCAAAAAAGACACTGAATGGATAAAGATAAAGCCATATGAACTAAAAAGAGTTAGCTTGCTTTGCAAGAGATAATAGTAGTAAGGTTTTCAAGGGTTGATGGTAGGTGGTGGAGAGGATTTGGGAGAACCTGGGAGAAAAGCAAATAAAAATGGTGGCTTAACAAGATGGTGGCAGTCGTGGACAGAAAAAAAATTTTACTCATATACATTCCTTGTTATAATTTTGGAAAATAAATATTTCAAAACTTCAGAACAATGATGGTGAACATAATAAAATCAATAATATACAATATGGTATCCCTCATCAGTTATTATAAACCTTTATTACAAACAGTTCTTACAAGCACATTATCAATAGGAAGAGCACCAGCTTAATGAAAACAGTTTCTGAAGAAAAAAGTGACATCAGAAAAGATGTCACTGAACATGAGAGAAATTTTCTTTCACAGAAATATATATTGCTAAGAGATAATCCAGGAAAGGAGAAGGGGATTACACATTCTTCAAATGCTCTAATACTGGATTTATAAGTTGCCCTGTAAACACAGGAGAGAACCTTTTTATCTTAACTTCACAAATTAATGCACCAGTAATTTGAGAAGCTGCCTAGTGGTATTAGTACAAAAAACTTTGATGTCCATTTCATGAAAGTTATCAAACGAATAGGCATAAAGTTGTTTATAATACTTCCTTTCTATCCTTTTAATGTTTATGGGATCTGAAGATATATCCCCTCTTTCATTTTTGATGTTGTTTATCTTCTCTCTCTCTCTTTTTTGACCTGCTAGCTAGATGTTTATAAATTTTATTTATCTTTTCAAATAATCAGTTTATAGATTCATTAATTTCCTTTATTGTTGTTCAAATTACTTTCACTTACCTCACACTGATTTCCTGAGTAATGGGATCCTAACCCAATAAGATCAATGAAATATAATGATAATTTTCTGAGATGCCACTGTGCTTAAACATGCTTAAATGTAGGCTGAGAATACTACTACCATTTGTCACGATATGCAAGAAGTGTGTGTTGACAAAAAAATCAATTCACAGAAACAGACTTTAAAGATTAAGAAAATCTGAATTGTGGTATATTTTGAGTCCAAATATAGCTGAGTTAATAATCTCCCTTTTGACTTTGTTACATGAACTAATAAATTCCCTATTTGATTAAGGCATTTTGGTTTGGGGTGTGTGTGTGTGTGTGTGTGTGACTTATGATGTAAAGAATCCTAACTCATACAACATACTTTGCAGTGTTAGAGATGAGGCGAGTCCAGTAATAATAACAAAAAGAACATCTGTAATAAGAACAAGTATCAGAAGCTATGACTTTGGGTCAAGATAGTAGACTAAGTTGATATAGGAATTCTTCCCATCTACTTGACCTACCTTTAACACACACTTACACTCTCCAAACATAAATAAATACTTGGTAAAGGTGTTTTAAATTTTAAAATAGATATATACACTCAAGAGCAAAAACGTTAAAACAGAAATTCAATTTATAAAAAGGCAAGTAGAAAATATAGTCATAAAGATGAATCTAATACATCCAAGATAATATACATTCTCAATATGATAGGGGCTGAGGTTTATTGTCTACATAAGAATAACAGTAGTAAGTAACAATTAAATAACATTTAATATATTACAGACACCACTCTAAGCACCTTATGTATATCAAATTATTTAATCCTCACAAAAACCTATGAGATATATACTATTATTATACCTCACCTTGAAGGAACTGGAGTAGGAAAGGGTAAATTAACTTACCCAAGATTACATAGCTGGTAACTGGCATAAAAAAGAAGAAAATCTCTGCCCAATCTGGAAGAAGAATTAAAAATTCTCTACCCCACTAGTCCTGGGGGAAAACAAGAGGCAATTGGCCTACATGAAACTGTGATCAATCAAAAACAGATTTATCTCTCCCCTCACCCCCAACCCCACCAAAAAAAATAAATAAAACCAGAATCCTTAGACTGCCATGAATAAGGGTGAGTAATGAGCTGTAGAAAGTCCCTGAGGTGAAAGACTAACATAGAGGCCAGGCTGTAGCAGCTATAAAAACCCATCTGTTAGGAAAGCTTCCACAGCTGAAGGTATGCTTAGTCTCCAAGAAAGACAACTTTCACAGAAGATGTGCTTAAGGCAAAAGTTACAAAACACAAAAAGCAGTCTATCATCAAGGAATATAATCCATAGGCCACTAAGGCGAGGAATTCACACCTGAGGAACTAGAGATAATAGGGCAATCTTAAAATGATTTTAAATATGTATATGTAAATTGTTCAACGAAACAAAATAATCTACTTTTTCAGCATCTCCAGTGTGCCCCTCATCATGTTCTACACGATAGGCTCAATTAAACTTACCAACTGTATGCGGTAAATAGGCAACATTATCATTAATTTAGTGTGAGGAATATGAGAGCTTAAGTAAGTGGTCCAGGGTCATACACCTTGTAGATGAAGAAGCCAGGATTCAATTTAGTCAGTCTAGCTCCAGAAGCAATTTTTGACTAAAGGGGCATATTAAAATCCTAATGGGACTCAAAGTCTATCACTGCTATGGTGTCTCAAATTGTCTAAAACCACCTAGTCTAATTTAATTCATAATTTAATTAATGTTCATCTGATTCATGTTAGAACTCTGAGGACATACTTATAAGAGAATGTAGTTACACTTAAAAAGGTTGCAGTATAAAACAGAGAAAAAGATAAGATGATAAATTTTAAAGTGCCATATATTGTGATAAATAATTCAGAAATGGATGCTTCTGAATTAATTTTATAACAAGTTATTCTTACCACAGGTTCTAGAAGAAGCTGGTAGTCCAAAATAAGAGGGAGGAACATGCTTGTGGAAGAAGAAAAGTGTGGCAATCTTTGCTATGAGCCACTATATGGAACCAAGAAAGGAAGAACAAAAATTACACTCTGATTGGTCAGAGTACTGAAGATAAAACCAAATATGTCAACTATAAGAAATGGCCCAATACTAGATAAGCCATTCCCAGAAACAAATTTTAGTTTGACATAAAGGCTATCTGCACATACAAAAAACAGGTACCATGGAGGAGGAAGGGAGGGAGAGAAAGAAAGAGGGAGGTGGGGGAGAGGGAAGAAGAAGGGAAGGGGGGGGAAGGGGGGAGGGAAGGGGATGGAAGGGGAGGGAAGGGGAGGGAAAGAAGGAAAGAAAGGAAATGAGGAAAGGAGGAAAGGAGGGGAGGGGAAGGGAGAGGAGGGAAGGGAAGGGAAGGTAAGGTAAGGTAAGGTAAGGTAAGGGAAGGGAAGGGAAAGGAAGGAAAGGGAAGGTCTTATAGAGAGAGAGATAGAATATAGAGGGCCTTTGGATTTAATGAAAGATGTTGGGTGCCATGTTAATGGCTTTTCTCATTGTCACACACAGAATAGTTTCATGATCAACCAATCTTTTTAAACTTTTTTTTCAAAGTGGAATAAAGCCCAGGATGAAGTAGCTTAGAAGCAGATAACAATTATCCAGAAGTGCTGGCTACCTCATCCACCACTTTAAGAGCTTAAAAGAATCATTATCTCAAGACACACTGCTAGGGAAGATCTTATCCTAGAGCCCAAAAGAACTTACAATTTATCATACAGGATGAAAGTCTGGGGTACTATTTTATCTTCTATTTAAGGGAGGGGAGAAACTTACGAAAGTGTATGGGATCGTATAGTTTGAAGTCGGGTAACGTGATGCCTCCAGATTTGTTCTTTTTGCTTAGTCTTGCTTTGGCTATGAGGGCTCTTTTTTAGTTCCATATCAATTTTGGGATTGTTTTTTCTAGTTCTGTGAAGAACAATGGTGGTATTTTGATGGAAATTGCATCTCAAGACACACTGCTAGGGAAGATTTCATCCTAGAGTCCCAAAGAACTTACAATTTATCCTAGATAATGAAAGTCTGGGGGTATTGTTTTATCTTCTCTTTAAGGGACATCATTTCTACAAGTCTGTTTTCTTCCACAGGAAAGGAGATTGGTGATTGTGATGTTCTGGTTCTGTTACTTTGCTCATTCTGCTCCAAAAGAGCTGAGTGAACAGTCTGATTGATGTTATTAGGGTAAAACAAATTAGTTGACTTTTCTTCCTTGTTGGATCACCTTCCACAAGTCTCAGACATTTTTCCATGGTAGGCTCTATCTCTCTACCAATAAGGAAAGCTGTCCCAGTTCATCTTTACCCTGTCTGTATGGGTAAATCTGGATAGATAAGCATATTTGCCCACAGACAAAAACCATATCCTCTAATATCAAGTTTATCCATAATAATAGTAATGGTATTTTGATATTCCATTTTCTGACTATGTTGTAATAGTCCTTAAATTAATTGAAATACAGGTGGGAAATAAGGCTGATGTTTATTATGTTCTGTCTCAGGGCTGCTTGATAGAGTATTTCACAAAAATGAAACGATCTATAATCTATGCTATATCTTACTTGGTAGCTACTTGCCATAGGTGTCTATCGAACACATGAAATGTGGCTAGTGCTACTGAAGAACTAAATGTTTAATTATATTTGGTTTTAATTAATTTAAATTTGGCTAGTGGCTACCATATTATATGGTAAATTTTAGATCCTAATACCTCTCTTTTATTCTCCTGCTTTTTCTTTCCCACCTTGAACCAGAGGGAATACGTGTAGCAGCCAATAGGGCTAACTAAATAATTCAATCTTTACATTAACTCAGTAAATGTATCAGGAAGGAGTGTGGGAGGTAAGGAGGGGAGAAATTGTTGAGAAAGTGTATGGGATTGCATAGTTTGAAGTCGGGTAACGTGATGCCTACAGATTCGTTCTTTGTGCTTAGCCTTGCTTTGGGTATGTGGGCTCTTTTTTAGTTCCATATGAATTTTAGGATTGTTTTTCTCTAGTCCTGTGAAGAATGATGGTGGTATTTTGATGGAAATTGCACCAAATTTGTAGGTTGCTTTTGGCAGTCTGGTCATTTTCACAATATTAATTCTACCCATCCATGAGCATGAGATGTGTTTCCATTTCTTTGCGTGATCTATAATTTCTTTCAGCAGTGCTTTGTAGATTTCCTTGTAGAGGGCTTTCACCTCCTTGGTTGGGTGTATTCCTAAAGATTTTTATTTATTTATTTATTTATTTATTTATTTGAGAAGGAGTCTCGCTCTGTGGCCCAGGCTGGAGTGCAGTGGCATGATCTCAACTCACTGCAACCTCTGCCTCCCGAGTTCAAGTGATTCTCCTACCTCAGCCTCCCGAATAGCTGGGATTACAGGCATGTGCCATCACGCTTGGCTAATTTTTGTATTTTTAGTAGAGACGGGGTTTCATCATGTTGGTCTCTTGAACTCCTGACCTCAAGTGATCCTTCCGTCTTGGCCTCTTAAAGTGCTGGGATTACAGGCGTGAGTCACCGTGCCTGGCCAGATTTTAATTTTGTTTTGCAGCTATTGTAAAACGGGTTGCGTTCTTGATTTGATTCTCAGAGTGGTTGCTGTTGATGTATAGCAGCACTGCTGATTTGTGCACATTGATTTTGTATCCTGACACTTAATTTATTTATCATATCTAGGAGATTTTTGGATGGGTCTTTAGGGTTCTCTAGGTATATGATCATATCATTGGCAAACAGTGACAGTTTGACTTCCTGCTTACCTATTTGGATGCCCTTTATTTCTTTCCCTTATCTGATTGCTCTGGCTAGGACTTCCACTACTATGTTGAATAGAAATGGTGAAAGTGGATATCCTTGTCTTGTTCCAGTTATCAGGAGAAATGCTTTCAACATTTTCCCATCCAGTATAATGTTGGCAGTCAGTTTGTCATTGGTGGCTTTTATTACCCTAAGGTATGTTCCTTCTATGTCAATTTTGCTGAGGGTTTTAATCATAAAGGGATGTTGGATTTTGTCAAATGATTTTTTTTCTGCGTCTATTAAGATGATCATGTGATTTTTGTTTTTAATTGTTTCTGTGGTGTATCACATTTATTGACTTGCATATATTAAACTATCCCTGTATCCCTGGTAGGAAACCCACTTGATCATGGTGGATTATCTTTTTGATATGCTGTTGGATTCAGTTAGCTAATATTTCGTTGAGGATTTTTGCATCTATGTTCATCAGGGATATTGGTCTGTAGTTTTTTTTTGTTGTTGTTGTTGATGTTATGTCCTCTCCTGTTTTTAGTATTAGGGAGATACCGGCTTCAAAGAATGATTTAGGGAGGATTCTCTCTTCCTCTATCTTTTAGAATAATTTCCATAGAATTGGTATCAATTCTTTATTTAATGTCTGATAGAATTCAGCTGTGAATCCATCTGGTCCTGGACATCTTTTGTTGCCAATTTTTTATTACCATTTTAGTATCACTGCTTATTATCGGGCAGTTCAGATTCTATTTCTTCCTGGTTTAATCTAGGAAGGTTGTATTTTTCCAGGAATTTATCCGTCTCCTCTAGGTTTTCTAGTTTGTGCGTGTAAAGGTGTTCATAGTAGCCTTGAATGATCTTTTGTATTTCTGTAGTATCAGTTGTAATATTTCTTGTTTCATTTCTAATTGAGCTTATTTGTATCTTCTCTATTCTTTTCTTGGTTAATCTCACTAATGGTCTATGAATTTTATCTTTTCAAAGAAACAGCTTTTTGTTCCATTTATGTTTTCTGTTTTTGTTTTTTGTTTTTTTTTTCAATTTCATTTAGTTCTGCTCTGATCTTTGTTATTTCTTTTCTTCTGCTGGCTGTGAGTTTTGTTTGTTCTTGTTTCTATAGTTCCTTGAGGTATGACCTTAGATTGTCTATTTGTGCTCTTTCAGACTTTTTGATATAGGCATTAATGCTATGAACTTTTCTCTTAGCACCACTCTTGTTGTATCCCAGAGGTTTTGATAGGTAATACCACTCTCATTATTCAGTTCAAAGAGTTTCTTAATATCCATCTTGATTTCATTGTTGATCCTTCAATCACTCAGGAGCAGATTATTTAATTTCCATGTATTTGCATGGTTTTGAGGGTTCCCTGAGGCAGCTGGGACTACAGGCACACACCACCATGTCTGGCTAATTGTTGTATTTTTAGTAGAGATGGGGTTTCACTATGTTAGCCAGGATGGTCTCAATCTCCTGACCTTGTGATCTGCCCACCTCGGCCTCCCAAATTGCTGGGATTACAGCCGTGAGCCACTGTGCCTGGCCTGCTTTCCAATTTTATTCCACTGTGGTCTGAGTGGGTACTATAAGGCTACAGTCACCAAAACAACATGGTACTGGTATAAAAATAGGCACATCTTTATACCAATGGAACCCAAGAGAATCCAGAAATAAAACCAAATACTTATAGCCAACTGACCTTTGACAAAGCAAACAAAAACATAAAGTGGGATAAGGACACCCTATTCAACTAATAGTGCTGGGATAACTGGCAAGTCACATGTAGAATAATAAAACTGGACAGTCATCTCTCACCTTATATAAAAATCAACCTAATATGGATCAAAGACTTAAATCTAAGACCTGAAACCATAAAAATTCTAGAAGATAATATCGGAAAAAAACCCTCCTAGAAATTGGCTTAGGTGAAGCCTTCAGAACCAAGAACTCAAAAGCAAATGCAACAAGAACAAATATAAATAGATAGGACCGAATTAAAGTAAAAAGATGCCACACAGCAAGAGAAATAATCAGCAAAGTAAACAGACAACCCACAGAGTGGAAGAAAATCTTCACAAATTAGGCATCCAACAATGGACCAATATGCAGAATCTAAAAGGAACTCATACAAATCAGCAAGAAAAAAACAAATAATCCCACCAAAAAGTAGGCAAAGGACATGAATAGACAATTCTCAAAAGAAGATATTAATACAAATGGCCAACAAACATATAAAAAATGCTCAACATTACTAATGGGCAGGGAAATGCAAATCAAAACCACAATGCATTATCACTTTATTCAAGCAAGAATGGCCATAATTTAAAAAATCAAAAAATAATGGATGTTGGCATGAATGTGGTGAAAAGGGAACACTTTTACACTACTGGTGGGAATATAAACTAGTACAACCACTATGGGAAACAGTACGGAGATTCCTTAAAGAACTAAAAGTAGATCTGCCATTTGATCCAGCAATCCCTCTACTGGGTATCTACCCAGAGGAAAAGAAATCATTATATGAAAAAGACACTTGCAAATGTATGTTTATAGCAACACAATTTGCAATTGCAAAAATATGGAACCAGCCCAAGTGCCCATCAATCAATGAGTGGATAAAATTATATATATATATAGTTATATATATATATATAATTATATATATAGTTTTATATATATAGTTATATATATAGTTATATATATAGTTATATATATATAGTTATATATATAGTTATATATATAGTTATATATATATAGTTATATATATAGTTATATATATATAGTTGTATATATATATATAGTTATATATACACACACACACATACACACACACACACACACATCTCATAGAATACTACTCAGCCATAAAAAGGAAGGAAATAATGGCATTCGCAGCAACCTGGATGGAGCTGGAGACCATTATTGTAAGTGAAGTCACCGAGGAATGGAAAAACCAAACATCATATGTTCTCACTTACAAGTTGGAGCTAAGCTATGAGGACACAAAGGCATAAAAATGACATGTTGAACTTTGGGGACTTAGGGGAAGGTTGGGAGTGGGGGTGAGGGATAAAAGACTAACCCTGCTTGGGTTACGGGTGTACCAAAATCCCAAAAATTGCTACTAAAGAACTTATCCATGTAACCAAACACCACCTGTTCCCCTAAAAACCTATTGAAAAAAAATGTATGAAATTACCGCAAACAGAGGGAATGAAAGTAGAGAGATCTGGAAAGACTTGCTGTGTCATTGAAGGGGAAGATGGAGTAGCCCACGTTTGGACATTAAATAATACGGACTTCAGTGTGATTCTCTATAAGAACATGGTATCATCTGCTTTCTAACTTTGCCCAGGGTTTTAATCAGTTCCGTTGCGAGAAGCCAAACACACACAGGATGTTATCAGTAGGAAAGAGATATCATTGAAATAAAACACAGATATGTATGTAGGCTCTATAAGGACTGTATCTATCTGGTCATTATTTCACTTTGTTGGGTGCTGATGGATACAGTAATAAATGAATAAAAACATCAGTGATACCATGCAAAAAGAGGAAGTTTAAAAAGGTTTCACTGGTAGCTAGAACATGAAATAGAAGTTGAGGAACTTCTTCACTTTCTTGGTCTGTCAAGTGCTTCATGTTTTTCTCATCTCAGCTTCTATCTGGACAACTGCCTCTTTCTTTTTCTTCCATAGGCCAATTTATTTTACTTAAACATGATCTAACTCCTCTCTACATGCTCTCTGATCTCCCAGTTCAAGGGCCTCAGACACTTAGAGTATCTGTGTTCCAAATACACATTTATCTTCTTGGCTCAGCATAAGCCAAATTCCTCAAAAGAGGCAAAACAGGCAAGTATCTGCTATAAATTCTACCCCAGGATTAGCTCTGATAATGTGATTATATAGAAATGAGTAAAAATGTAGTATATTAAGGAACTACTTGAGAGATTCCATACATATTACTCATTTAAGCTTCAAAAATACCCAAAGCTCACTTACATTATTTATTTTCTCAAGATAAGAAAAAATGCAGCTCAGAGATGCTAAGAAATATCCAAGATATTAGAAGAAGCAATAGCAAGTGCTTTTTGCACAAAAACGTTCTGCTTCTACTTTAAACTGTCAATATTCCTTAGCAGGATTTTGTATTAGGTAGGAAGTAGGAGTATCTGACACATACCATCACTCCTGCCTTGGACTTCCCCCAAACACAAAATTCTCAGAGATTCTTCATGCAACAATTAGACTTAGGGGTTGTATGTTTGTGTGATGGTGTGTGTGTGTGTGTGTGTGTGTTACTTTCATCAGATTGAGAATGCTTTTAACATAAAAGGACTAAGACCCTTTTAAGACCCTCTGCATATTCATTTAATCTTTATGGCACTAACCCTAGAAAAGTAAATGTACATTTTTATTAAAGTTCAGATATTTCTTAAGATAGATTTCTGGTTAAGAGCATTGATATTGACCAAATCTCTCTTAATTTGTTTGTTCTTGAAAGAACTAGAAGATTGCAGCCAAGTACTATGTGTTTGTTTTCAATAAATGCTTGTGGAGGGTGGAGTGGGCGCTGCCTAGAAATTCATAGTCTCTGAGTGTGCAGACAAGAAACAAGAGCAGGGATGACTCTCATAGCCCTCGGAGGAAGGAACTTATAACTCATGGAGAAAACAAATCCATAATCTTAAGTGTTAGGATATACAAAAGTCATCTTCTTTTTGAAAGTTTATAGAGACTCATGTTTAGTACCATTTTAGGATTTGCATTTCAGAATTTTTGTTTTATATGTTTTCAAAGTGTCTCAAAATAATAACAATAGATAACATTTGGTACACATTTAGTGTATCCTAAGCACCATGATTATCATTTACATGCATCATCTCAATCTTTATGACAACTTTGTTAGCTAGGCATAGTTATTCTCATTTTTCATCTGAGGAAACTGAGGCTCAGAGGAATGAAATGACTTGCTCCGTATCACCAGATAGTAAGTGGGAAAGCTAGGAATTTTATCCATAGAGTCTGAATCTATAGTTATCATTCTTAATTACTTTATTCCTATATTGCCTTCCTTAACTTTAGACTTTTGTTAGCACAAAATATTTAGCCTGCACTTAATCCAATCTGAGCAATTTGCATGGCTTTGCTCTGCCATAGGGAAGCTCATGTACTTTTAAAGTTTCCCAAGATAGAGTCATCTGTGTTTCTCAGCTCAGCCTATATAACATCTTGAGTATTCCTGTCTATATCCCCTGACATGTCCCCCTAAATTTTTAACCATTTAGCTAATCACATTTATTGTTTATAATAGCAAAACAGGTGCCCATCATTACATGACTATTTAAAGAAATCATGGTTTATCCACAAAAGAGATAAATATATAGCCATAAAAGAGTATGTTATGGAAGAATATTTATTGGCATGGAAATTAATCCATACTATCAATTTATAAGACAGAATATTCTGTACTACCCTTTTGGGTAAAGAAATATATAAAAATGTTAATATTGATTACTTTTATCCAGTAGACTTGCATGTGTGTTTATTTTTGCCTGAAATTTTCTAAATTTCTACAAAAAGTTTATACTGATTCTCTAACAAAAACATTATATCTTTTAAAAAATAATGGGAAATCTTCAAGATTAAAATGTTTCACTGCTTTTATTAAATTGTTGGCAGGTAATTGTGATTCCTCTTTTAAATTTAAACTCCTATAAGCACCTAGTTACTCTGCCAGGAATTAGGTATGTATACTGTCTTGCTTCATAAATGCTTTGTATGTATGTTTAACTCTACACAATAGTAAGAAAAATGAATAAGAATGTTTTATACATACTCTCCCTATGCCTAACTCTAAACAGAGTGTACAATTTCAGCTAAAAAATAACACAACAAGATTCCCTGGTTCCTGGTTAACCTCACACATTTACCAACACCTGTTTATCACCAATTCATTCTCATAATTATATGTCATATCATTATATACACTACAAATTCACACATATTTATACTAAATATAATTTATCTTTATGTAATAAGTATATCTGATATAATATATATTTTAATATGATATATTTATATCTAAATATAAAACTTAACTGTAAATATATTTACATATATTTCATATATGTATAAATAGTTCACATATCATATTGGAGTGCAAAAAGCCTTATGAAGATAGCCTTTTAGATGAGAAAGAATTATAATTTCCACACTATGGAGGAGTAAAAATTAAATGATGAGGATCTAAGGAAAATGTTGTTTAGAGCAATTATTGTGTATCAGGACCATTTGAAGCCTGGAGAGTCTCCTGTAACTGTAAGTTTACATGGAGAATATCATGGACTTCCTCTAAGATTCAGTGTGAAAAATTATTTGCCACCTATAACCTCCAAAAAATTTTTCTAATACTAGACTATAGGATTAATTCGAAAAATAGAAATTTTTAAAATTTCAAATTGGAGGATGGGGACTGCATATGGATTGTCCTGAGTCATCTCCTAAGAGACATCATAAAAATATCATTAAAAATGTATCAGCATAAGTTCAAGCCACTTAATATTGAATTTCTAGAACACTGGCATAATCAGTACTTTCCTTTGCTGCCAAAATGTCTTGCATAAGTCACAGTAGTAAGTTATTTTATATGTTCTACAAAGTGTCAAGTATGTACTAGCTGCTGAGGACAATTGGTGAACAAAACATTCATAACCCTTGACCTCATGGAACTTATGATTTAGTAAGAAGAAACATAAGTAATCATGTAAATAAACATACAACTGCAAGTTGTACATTTCTACATATACACCAAAAAATTACATACCTACAAAAAAACTACAAAAGAGAAATACATGGTATAATAAAAAGAGATTTGATCTAATTCAGGGCAGGAGAAAGGCTCCCTTAAGGAAGTCAAATTTGAGCTAATATATGGGAAATTAAGAGGAAAGGATCCAGATAAAAGAGAGATTGCATCAGGCAAAGAAATAAGAAAAAGGAACTCCAGGTGATGAAAATAATGTAGACAAAGGCCCAATGACAAAGAAAAGCAAGAGTTTATAAGGGACAAAACAAGCCAATGCATTTGGAGCGGAAAGAAAGAGGGGAAATGGAATGAGCAAATGGCGGCGAGGCAAACTTGTAGACCAAAAGAGACTTTAGTTCTACTCTTATCTTAAAAACAGTGGATGCAGTTGATGGTTTTTAATAAGAACATGATATGATCAGCTTTTCCTTTCAAAAGAACGTTCTTGCTGCAGAGTGAGCACAGATTGGAGAGAGATAAGATACTGCTGTTTATTTAGGAGGTTATTATAAATTTTAGGTGAGAAATTGTACCTTGACCAGGATGGTGGTGAAAATGGAGCGAAGTAGATGGATTGTAGAAATTTATTTCAGAGGCCAAATAACGGGACATGGTAGTGCATTATATGTGGGAGGTGAGGGAGAGAGAAGTGTAGACGGGTTACTAGGATTCTGATTTTCAGAAGATAGAGAACACTGGAAGGAAAACAAGACTAAGGAATTCTCAAGAGTCATGAATTTGAATCTAAATATGTTCATTTTGAGATGCTTTTGAGGCATGCAAGATGGGATATCTACTAGCCAAATATCTATCTTTGTATCCACCTTCTATCTTTGGAACTCAGAGAAAGTTAGAGATACAAATTTGTGAATCACTAGCATGTAAGTGGTATTTGAAACCAAGAACCTTAATGAAGTTCTCCAGAAAAGTCATACAGTGAAAGGAGATAGAAGAGAGCCTATATTGAACGATGAAGAATTTTAATATAATGACTGGTAGAAGTGGATGAGCCAGGAAGAGAGAAAGGAAGTTCCTGGATAAGAAACCAAGGAAGAATGGTATCATAGAAATCAATGGGGAATGAGTGTTGCAGGAAGTACCTGTCAGAATCAAATGTACTGAAAAGTAAGGAGGATGAAGACTGAAAAGTGCATACTGAAATCCAGCAACACTGGAACTCATTGTCTGAAATAAGAGCTATCTAAGTGAAATAATAGAGGCAGAAGTAATATTGTAAATAAGGAATAATAGAGGATGAGTAAATAGAATAGCAGATATGGGCAACTAGGCAATTCTTTGAAAAAGTAAACACTTTTTTTTTGAGACAGAGTTTTACTCAGTCACCCAGTCTGGAGTGCAATGGTGTGATCCAGGCTCACTGCAACCTCTGCCTCCCAGGTTCAAGTTATTCTCCTGTCTCAGCCTCCCAAGTAGCTAGGATCACAGGCACCTGCCATCACGTCTGGCTAATTTTTGTGTTTTCAGTAGGGACAGGGTTTCACCATGTTGGCCAAGCAGGTCTTGAACTCCTGACCTCAGGTGATCCACCCACCTTGGCCTCCCAAAGTGCTGGGATTACAGGAGTGAGCCACCGTGCCTGGCCAAGAAAGTAAACTCTTAAGAAGTATGGCTGTGGCATGAAGCAATAATATAGGGCCATAGCTGGAGAGAGAGATATTTATAGTATTTGATTTTGCTTTTTTTTTTTTCTTTTGAGACAAGGTCTGGTTCTATCACCCAGGCTGTAGTGCAGTGGTACAATCTCGACTCACTGCAAACTCTGCCTCCTAGGCTTAAGTGATTCTCATGCTCAGCCTCCAGAGAAGGTGGGATTACAGGCTCCCACTACCACATACCCAGCTAATTTTTGTATTTTTTGTAGAGACAGGTTTCACCATGTTGCCTAGGCTGGTCTTGAACTTGTGAGCTCAAGCCATCTGCCCGCATTGGCCTCCCAAAGTGCTGAGATTACAGGAGTGAGCCACCACACCCAGACAGTTTTGCTTTTCTTAAATGTGAAAAACCAATGGAAATGATCCAGATAAAGAGAGAGATTGCATGTACAAATGAAGAAGGCATTACACATAATGTAAAGAATAATATTTTACTAGAATACAACTTTTTAAAAGGCAGGCATCTTTAATCTGTCCACAGGTATATCCTTAGAATTTAGAATATTGTCTGGTTCATAATACATAATAAATATTCAGTAGGAGAAAGGTATGAATCTGTGATTCCTTAGGAGCTGTGACGGGAAGGAAGCCAGAGTACCTGTGGAAGGATTAGCCTTACAGAGGAAGAGGAAAGGCTCTTAAATTATAATAAAAAGGAAAAATGACAGTAGAGGGGCAGATCTGTGAAGATTCTATGCTTCATGATATTTCCAACTCATATCTTCTAGTTTCTCATGAAGTAGATCATAAGGTTGAGGTTCATCTTGGGGTGAGGGAAAAAGAGAGTTAGACAAAATGTGAAAATGTAGTTGTCATTGATGAGTATGAGAGATGTACAGTAGTGTCAATGGAAAGGGGTCCCAATCCAGACTCCAAGAGAAGTTTGGTTCTTGGATCTCACACAAGGAAAAATTCAAGGTGAGTCCATAAAATGAAAGCAAGTTTATTAAGAAAGTAAAGGAATAGGCATGGTATGGTGGCCCATGTCTGTAATCCCAGCACTTTGGGAAACCGAGGTGGGCAGATCACCTGAGGTCAGGACTTTGAGACTAGCCTGCCCAACATGGCCAAACCCCATCTCTATCAAAAATACAGAAAAAAATTAGCTGGGCGTGGTGGTGCGTGCCTGTAATCCCAGTTACTTGGGAGGCTGAGGCACAAGAATAGCTTGATCCCAGGAGGCAGAGGTTGCAGTGAACCGAGATCATGCCACTGCACACGTGGTGCACACATGCACAAAAGTAAAGGAATAAAAGAATGGCTACTCCATAAGCAGAACAGCACTGAGGGCTGCTGGTTGCCCATTGTTATGGTTATTTCCTGATTATATGCTAAACAAGGGGTGGATTATTCATGCCTCTCCTTTTTAGACCATATAGAGTAACTTCCTGACATTTCCACGGCATTTGTAAACTGTCAATGCGCTGCTGGGAGTGTAGCAGTGAGGCTGACCAGAGATCACTCTCATGGCCATCTTGGTTTTGGTGGGTTTTCGCTGGCTTCTTTACTGCAACCTGTTTTATTAGCAAGGTCTTTAAGACCTGTATCGTGCCGACCTCCCATCTCATCTTGTGACTAAGAATGCCTTACCCTCCTGGGAACACAGCTCAATAGGTCTCAGCCTATTTTACCCAGCCCCTATTCAAAATGAAGTCACTCTAGTTCAGACACCTCTGACAGTAGTCCTCTCTTATCCAGGATTTCACTTTCCATGATTTTAGTTACCCACGGTTAACTGCTGTCTGAAAAGAGGTAGGTATTATACATAGTATTAAGATATTTTGAGAAGAAAGAGAAAAAGAGGGAGATGCAACATTCATATAATTTGTATTACAATATATTGTTATAGTTGTTCTATTGTTGATCATCTTTTGCTGTGTCTACTTTATAAATTAAACTTTATCACAGGTATGTATGTATAGGAAAAAATATAGTATATGTAGGATTCAGTACTATCTGTGGTTTCAGGCATCCCCTGGGAATCTTGGAATGTATCCCCATGAATAATGGGGAACCACTATATAGTAGAATTAACTGGTAGGGTGAAGGCTTCTTTGAGTTTAGTGATCATGAATTCATAATAGAACTTATGTCTATTTCTGTGGCTTTCTCTGGCAGAACTCGGATGTTTGTAAGCAGCCATGGAGACAGAGATGGCTTGATCATTCTAGGATTGGAGTTAGATCATATAGCATAATAAAAGACAGATTTCAAATTATTTTGGAATCATTCAGAAAATCCTGTGTTTTCTATGAAGAGTTTTGTTTTGTTTTCTACAAAGAGAAGAGAAAACCCTATCCACTGTCATTTTGTCACTGTCCAAAAATGATAACTAAATGATGTGACTCAATATATAAATAGGCATGAAATAGTTAAATTGGAAAACTCAATACAGCTTGCTATAGCTAAAAGTACTTCCAATCATGGAGGGGAAAAAATAAGAAATTATAAATAGAGCTTCCTAGTTACAGAGAAGAATCTTTCAAACAATACTCAGCCAGAACAACAGCAGAGTGTCCCTGTATAAAGCCCCCAAAGGCCTGAACATCTTCATTCACAGGTAAAGAGATTTAATAGTAGGCTTTTGGGGCATTTGATAATAGAGGTGCTTGTATATCAGCTCAAAAGGTCAAAACTTCTCTATTACTCTATTGTTTTCCTAAGTGGTTTTTCTGAGGATAGGATCATGGGATACAAATAGGAATTCTGGTTAAATAAAAATACATTCCATGATTAAGTAAATATAGAAAATCACTTAAACAGAGTTAGAGTTTTGTACTGCAACACCTTTTTGCATGTTAGAATAATCTACGAATTTCTAAATATTGATTAGAGCATAGAAATTTTCCAGGATTATCTGGGCAGAAACTTTTTTTTTTTTTTTTGAGACAGAGTTTCACTCTGTTGCCCAGGCTGGAGTGCAGTAGTGCAATCTCGGCTCACTACAACCTCCACCTCTCAGGTTCAAGTGATTCTCCTGCCTCAGCCTCCCAAGTAGCTGGGATTACAGGCGCCTGTCACCACGCCTGCCTAATTTTTGTATTTTTAGTAGAGATGGGGTTTCACTATGTTGGCCAGTCTGTTTTCGAACTCCTGACCTCAGGTGATCTGCCCACCTCAGCCTCCCAAAGTGCTGGGATTAAAGGCATGAGTCACTGTGCCTGGTCTGAGCAGAAACTTTTTATGAGAAGTAGCTGGTGACTGTTGCAAAATATTGTTCTAGAAAAGAATGTCCACTTTTTCACACAGGAATTTATTGTGGTGTTAATTGGACAGTCCTTTGTTTTTTTCTTTTACATAACCTACATTCCCTGTGCTATAATTTAAATTAGGATTTCTCAAGCATGGCCCCAAATCACTTGCATCTGTACATTAGCACTTCTTGTTAAAACTGCAGATTTCTGTGCCTTAACTCAGAGCTAAAGAATCTCTGAAGTGGCACCTAGGAATCTGAGTTAAAGCAAGTACCCCAGTTACCATGTTAAAGTTTGAGAACTGAGGATTTCAGTCTACTTCCTCTCTCCAGTTGTCATCAACCTGTCATCTTCCTTCCATCAAAACTTGATTTTTACAGGCTATTTGTGACCCTGCACCCCTCTGCTGGCATGCTGCAAGAGACTCCTTCTTTACATTCTTCATCTCTGGTTTGTTTTTAATTCTTTTCTGGTGATATACAATCTTTTAAGAGTAGAATTTGCTAAAAACTTTACATGAAAACTTTCCTTCAAATAAAAAACAATACCATTTATGTCTATACCAGTAAAAGGGGGAGATTAGAAATTACCTAAATAATTTTATTCATTCAAAAATCTTGCCTATTTGTTTGATAATAAAAAAATGTATTTCTTCTCCAATAGATGAGGAGAAAAATGGCTAAATTATTCAGAATATCACAGGATTGCCCACTTTGGGATTAAATTTCAGAGTTCTCTATTAGCCAAGGCATTCAGTGAGTGAGGTGATCTGATTGGTTAAAATGTTATCAATCAAGAAAAATATTTAAAACATGAAATTTCACATACCACAAAATACATTTTACCTTCATATTGTATTAAAATGCAATAAATGTTAATAATTCAGTGTGTAATTCAAGTACTTTTATAGGTATTAATAAGTTATTTAATTATTTCTATTTAATTTTTTTTCATAAATTTTTTGGTAATTTGGGATCTAGACCAATATACCAGAATATAAAATTTTAAAGAATTTGAATATTTGTTATTCTGCAACTAATGGACAGATTCCTAATCTCCTATAGATCTCAATTTCTAAGAGTGTGAACTGTAATATGGAAAATTGAACTGTAAGACAGAAGAGCTGAAATAGGGTACATTTACATTTCCCTCTAGTTCTAAAACTCTAATTTCATTAGCTTTTTGTTTTATTCATGTGCAAATATACACACATAGAACTTAAACATGTTAGATTGAAAGGCACTGCATATGTAAACTATATTCCTCCAAAGATAAGAAAGATGGTCCTCATTAAATTTATCTGTGGATATTAAAATTCTTGCCTCCCATCAGTAATAAAATAGATGTTGCTTTTCCTTCCATTGACTCTGGTCACATGCTAAACTAACTTAAAAATAAAGCAATTTATTCCATATAAAGGAGAACTTGCTTTCAAATGTATATTTACATTTTGCTTAATTAGACTGAGGAGTGCATATTGGAAAAGTTTGTATGGTACTGATTACTATTTGGAATGCAGTGTCCCGATTGAAGCTGTAATAACTACAAGTCAACACAACTTGTATCAATAGTTGCAGCCATGCAGGAGCCACAGCTCCGATGTTATGTCTCTTGTCACTAGCATGTGCCATTGTGAGCCAGGCTGCAGCACAAGGCCTGTCTGCTTCCTCACAATAGCTTTTGCTCCCTGGGGAATACAAAGGCAGACAGTCTCTTTTCTCTTCTTTTCAACAGACACTCAGAGGGTCTGTTACTTATTATCTTTGGAAGAAAAGACACAGGTTTCCACAAGCAACTTGAGCTTGTCTCAGTTTTGAGATCAGAAAAGATGAGTTAGGTCCTTGGGACCCTTCTGCAAGACAAACTTTATTGTTGTTTTTGCTGATGAAAGTAGGACTCACAAGCATTCAGCAACTTTAGCTAGATTCATTTTTACTAACGTCTTTATGACCACCTCTTCTGTGGAGAAAGGAGGCTTGATTGGAGAGGAAGGTGGGAGCCCACGGGTAGGAGGGGTAATATAATGTAAAACAGTGAGGAGGGAGGAGAGAGAGATTTCCTGGACCCCACAAAGAGTTACCATCTGAGAAGCATCTCTGTATCTCCAGCAACACAAAGTGGGTTGACATTTCCCATAATAGACTTTCTTATATGCATCAGCCAGTTGACATTCGTAAAGCAAACCCATTATTTTATTTTTAAAAGAAAGGAGTCACATGGCATTAAGTGAAAAAGAGTCTTGTATTGGACTCTGGGAGCTGGGTTTTAATCCTGGTACGACTATGGAATAGAATATTATATTAGGAATGTGGCTTAACATCTCTGCCCCCCAGTCTCCTTGTCTGTAGGATTAAGACATTCAATTTAATTGCCACCATAGTCTTTAAAAGTAAGAAAGTTTAGCTCTAAAATACAATGAGCCAATTTTTTGAATTATCTTTCTTTGGTCTTATGGAGTTATAAATTTCTAATTGTTTAAATTAATACAGATTTATTCAGGCAAACTAGAAGTCCCTCAATTTACTTACACTTTCAACCAAGTATCTATGCATCTAAAGAGCAAAATTTTATTTCGGCAAGGCCACCTAGGAGCAAGAATAAAAAACAGCTGTAGCACAATACCCTCAAGGACCAGCCTTGGTAAAAGTTCTGAATGTGTCTGTTCGTGATGAAAACCAAAGGGAAAAAAGAAATGTTGTATTTCCCTTTTATTGAATGGAAACTAATAGTACATAGAGTGAAATAAAGGCACCAAACCAAAGGCTTTCTTCTTTTTTAACTAGAGCATCTGTGTGGACATTGTGGAGCCATCGAGACTGAATTCCCCAAATCTCTTAGGAAAATAATCATTCTCTTATTCTACCCTGAGTGATAGAGCATCAGGTAGAAAAAAGAGACAGAAAGCCAAAACATACGATCATTGATAGCCCTTGGACAAAATCCCATGGCCGATTATACTTCCGAAGTACCAATCGAGAATCCATCCTAGTTTAGCCTCTGCTAACAGCATGTTTATTTTATGGAATAAACCCAAGACTGAATTTATCTCCTAAATTTTTAAAACCAAAATAAACATTTACCAGCGTTATTATAAAACAAGATTCAGATTTACTGTGGAGCCAAGAGGGCTGATAAGTATGTGGCTGAGGCTATACCTAGAGATGTCAGGGTGCTCAAAATCCTCTTTTCTTATTGAATTATAGAGTTTCTCCTAAAGTGCCACCCAGCAGTCCACTGTCCCCTAAAAGAGACTCATCAATATCCTGAATTCAACCCTCCCAAGTATACTCAAAGCCTGATTCTGGCTTTTTCCTCACTGGAACAGAAATGCCTTTATTGTCCTATACATGTCTCAAACATTATTCTTTGGGTTGGTATAAACACTCATCACACCTCTACAGATTAACTTCCATATCATTGGGAAGCACTTTGGCTCACTTAGTCACTCAACCAGTCATCATTCCATTTATCAGATAATTGTTCATTGAGTATTGCTGGGATTTGGGGACACAAATTATCCCTTTTCCTCTTCAAGTTCCAAGTCGGTTGCGAAACATATACAAGAGTTAAAGGGGAACAAAATGTGATATTATTGTTATTGGAGGCAAGGTTGGCTGAAAAAATGTGACGTGACCCCAACAAACTTAGGTATCTTAATCTTTGTCCTCTAAATTGAATTCACTTAACTAAACCAGTCACAGGCAGAGATGCAGAATTCCAGCCCCCCACTGCATAGCAAAGGATGTAAATTATGCCTAGACTGCTTACCTATATATCACAAGCATACACAACTTGTAGAATTATAACTCTCCAAAATTACCTAAGTAAAGCTGAATTTAATTTTTCTTCTTTTATTTTTCTCTAGGTTAGATAGTCTTGTGTCTTTAATTGGTTTAAATAATAATAGCAAGTATTAAAGTATTATCCTGCAAAAATATAAAAGATATTTAGGAAATAATATTAGCATTTGCACAAGTAGGTGTGAATAAGATTTACTAGCCACAGAGCTGTTACCAGGTTCACAGTTCTAAGAAAAGATCCAGAAAAAATATGGGGGACAAAAGTGAACAAAACTATGTTTGAAGCTAAAGCTGTTTTAACTTTGTATTATGGCTTCCTGGAAACATGCCAGATGTTCAAGTGTCTTTTTAAAAAACCCACTAGATTTCCTGGTAGACAAAAAAATAATTAAGAAAGTCTTTGAGGAATAGTAGAAATTGGCATTTATCCACCATTTACAACATTATCCCAATGATATGTCGAGAAACCACCAAAATGATACATCAAAACCATGGAAGAATGTGATGTTTCAAAAAAAAAAATACCCTAAGTCCCTTCTTGTTATTAAACATAGAATTATGTAGAGCTTTTGACTCTTTTAAGTTGTTTTCATGTTTATTACTTCTCTTTGACAACTACCCAATAAGATAGAAGGGCAGTGGGGCAAAGACTACAATTTTTCTCAGTATCTGTTATCTTCTTCTATAGTCACAAGACCATAAATTTTTAGCTAGATTTACAGCAGTCTGAAACAAAGATATTTCCTATACTCTATTGCATCAGATATGTCCATGTGACTAAATTCAGACTAAAGTAGTATTTATAATTTCTGGGAAGGGTCCTTAAAAGATGTGACCTAGCCTTTCTCCTCCTTTTCTACCTTCATGCTGGTGGAAAAGTAAGTGAAATGGCTGGCACTTCAGCAGCCATTTTACCTATGACATGCTCTTAGGATCAAATATCATATAAGACGGAGTTACAAGATAGAAGAAGCCTTGAGCCCTGACATTTTGTGGCCATAATAAAGCCTTGGAACTGCTTATCTCTGAACTTTTTTATAAGAGTGAAATAAACTTCTTATTTGAGCCATTTTTTATGTGTTTTCTGTCAACCATAACCAAATCAGCATGGTACTTGTATAGGCACATAGACAAATGGAACAGAATAGAGAATCCAGAAATAAACTCAAATACTTTCAGCCAAAAGATCTTTGACAAAGCAAACAAAAACAAAGTGGGAAAAGGACACCCAATTCAACAAATGGTGCTGGGATAATTGGCAAGCCACATGTAGGAGAATGAAACTGGATCCTCATCTTTCACCTTATATAAAAATCAACTCAAGATGGATCAAGAACATAAATCTAAGACCTAAAACTATAAAAACTCTAGAAGACAACATTGGAAAAATCCTTCTAGACATTGGCTTAGGCAAGGATTTCATGATAAAGAACCCAAAATCAAATGCAATAAAAACAAAGATGAATAGATGGTACTTAATTAAATTAAAGAGCTTTTGCATGACAAAAGGAACAGTCAGTTGGGTAAACAGATGACCCACAGAGTGGGAGAAAATCTTCAATCTATACATCTGACAAAGGACTAATATCCAGAATCTACAACGAACTCAAACAAATTAGGAAGAAAAAAACAAACAACCCCATCAAAAAGTGGGCAAACGACATGAATAGACAATTCTCAAAAGAAAATATATAAATGACCAACAAACATATGAAAAAATGCTCAACATCACTAATGATCAGAAAAATGAAAATCAAAACCACAATGAGATACCACCTCACTCCTGCAAGAATGGCCATAATCAAAAAATCAAAAATAATAGATGTTGGCATGCATGCAGTGAACAGGGAACATTTCTACATTGCTGGTAGGAGTGTAAACTAGTACTGCCACTATGGAAAACAATGTGGAGATTCCTTAAAAAACTAAAAGTAGAACTACCATTTAATCCAGCAATCCCACTACTGAGTAGCTACCCAAAGGAAAAGAAATCATTATACAAAAATAGATACTTGCACACACATGTTTAAAGGAGCACAATTCAAAATTGCAAAAATGTGGAACCAGCCCAAATGCCCATCAATCAGCAAGTGGATAAAGAAACTATTTTATATACACACACACACATATATATTATACACACACACACACATACAATATAATATATACATATATGTGATGGAATACTACTCAGCCAAAAAAAGAAATAAACTAATGACATTCACGGCAACCTCGATGAGATTGGAGACTATTATTCTAAATGAAGTAACTCAGAAATGGAAAACCAAACATAGTATGTTCTCACTCATAAGTGGGAGCTAAGCTATGATGATGCAAAGGAATGAGAATGAAAAATAGGCTTTGGGGACTCAAGGGGAAAGGGTGGGAATGGGGTGAGGGATAAAAACCACAAATTGGGTGCAGTGTATACTGCTTAGGTGATGGTTACGCCAACATCTCACAAATTACCACTAAAAAACTTACTCATGTAACCAAACACCACAGGTTCCCCAATAACCTATGGAAAAAAAAAAAACCCTAACCAAATCTAATTCTAATATAGGTAGCTAGAGAAATATGTAGAGCCCACAATTTTTATCAAGGCAACATATGTTTTAGAATGAAAAATCTGGCAATTTTAGAAGTATAATACAATGTATAAAATGCACATTAGGTAACACCAATGGGATATAGAGCAGCAACCCATAATCAAATTTATTAATATTTTTGCAGCAACACATCAGAATGGTTGTACAAAGTGTGATAAATAAAACTATTGCAACTGACCCAATTGCCCCATAGAGCTGATGTTTATGGTTTCTTTGAATAAACATAGAAATGGATCCTCCCAGTCTTAAAACTGAAGACAATCACAATTGTCGTATCTGAGTTCCTTTCTCAGGAAATCAACCATCAGGACGCCCAGATAGTATCAAGAAGCTGAAACTCACTATATGGTGCTTTTGGACAATGGGGTGTCAGACCCCTCACTTATAATGATTGCTTAACCAACCATCTGCTTCCTGTCGACCAACTCCTCTTCCTTACCCCTCCCTAATTCCTGTCTTCCCACACAGGGTTACATTTCTTTCCTGCTATATAAACCCATAATTTTAGTCCATCAGGGAGATGGATTTGAGGCTAATCTTTCATCTCCTTGGAAGCAGCACCTGATTAAAGCCTTCTCCTCTGGCAATACTCATTGTCTCAGTGAATGGCTTTCTGTGCAGTGAGCAGCAAGACCTACACTGAATCTTTGGTGTTTCAGTAACAAATTCCGGTTCCCTGACCAGGAACATATTGCTGGTGGCTTGGTTGCTGTGGGTCAGGAATTTCAAAAGACCTTCTAAGTAGCCGCTTGACCCTTTTTTTTTTTTTTTTTTTTTTTGGCTGGACATGGGTCTGTTTCCCTCTCTGGTCCTGCTGCTGCTGGCCCCAGCTGCTTTCCTGAATGCCTAGAAAGAACAATCTTTAAATTTGATATCTGCATTGGGACAGGTGAAATTTCCTTTGTAGGCCCAGATAGCATGATCTGCTCTTTTCAATTTGGGAAATTTTTAGAGGAAGTTCCATTGGCAAGTGGACAAGGCCAACTGACTGAGAGATGGCAGCACACTGACTGTTTCAATATGGACACTCTGGGGGCTTATTTCTAATTGTGTGTTGTGTGTGTGTCTGGGCAACTGAGTGTCTTTTGTGGGTACCAGAGAGTGGGTCAGTTCCTCTCAATTTTGGTTGGAATTTCCATTTGCAAGTGGATAAAGCCCAACTGATTGAGAGAGGAAGCACATTGACTGTTCCAATTTAGACACATTTGGTGCTTGTTTATTGCTGAAGCACTTGGATTGTGTTTTGGTGATTGTTTGTGTGTGTGTCAACATAGTCATGGGAAATTGGAATTCAGTAAACTGATTTTCTTTTTTTTGGCCCCAACATTGTTTGGAATCTGGAGTTTGCTGTTGATAATGGGAAAGTGAAATGGAGTTCCAGATATACAGGCTTTAATGCTGCTATTCTAAGCAGGGTTGGGCCTGGTTAGTAGGTTCCAGGTAAGGTTCTGTGATGCTGTTTTGCCCCATTGTTCTTTGGAGTCTGGGAAGGTTTGGCCTTTACAAATCAAACTGCCATGGAAACTGCTTTACCTGAAATTTTGGTTCACAGCCTTCAGTGGATTACCTACTGGGGCAAACAAAGTTGAACCATGTGAACATGTTTGTAGGCTGGTAAGTATGTATTTATATCACATGACTAGAGTTCCAAGATAAAAGTTGTTGGATCTTTGTGTGTGTGTATACATGTCTAGATGTGTTTATGTGTATGTACATTTATTACACATTGTGTCTACCAAATTGGCTTATAAATAAAAGATCACTAATAAGTAAATAAGTCCAAGTAATTTACATGTGACTTAACTAAAACTTTAATAAACAAGCCTGGCTTTAAAATTATTGGTAATATAAAAAAAGAAATGTCTTCAGTGTTGTCAGCATACATTTTTGTTGGGGTTTTATATTTGTCTCTGCTAGATATTTTTAGGTATCAGGGTTTGACATAGAGGTTACACAACTATAAACCCAGCCAAAACAAAATGATCTTTGTGTGAATTTTTTTGATAAGTAAGACCTATTTAATGTTGGTTTAACAAAAATAGCTGAATCTTCTGAGTTATTGGTGAACATGCACATGTAGTTAACTCTAAGATTCTTACTTAGGTGATTACCTGATATTCACAGGTTATAAAATGGTTAACAAGGAAATGATTCACAAATCTAGATAAATTGCTAAAAATAAGGAAAATGTAAATGGGTAAGTGTTGTAGGTGAATTTTCTGTGTAACTTAAAATCTTTTTTTTTCTTTTTTCTTTTTGAGATGGAGTCTTGCTCTGTTACCCTGGCTGGAGTGCAGTGGTGCGATTTCGGCTCACTGCAAACTCCACCTCCCAGGTTCATGCCATTGTCCTGCCTCAGCCTCCTGAGTAGCTGGGACTACAGGCACCCACCACCATGCCCAGCTAATTCTTTGTATTTTTAGTAGAGACGGGGTTTCACTGTGTTAGCCAGGATGGTCTTGATCTCCTGACCTCGTGATCCACCCGCCTCGGCCTCCCAAAGTGCTGGGATTACAGGCATGAGCCACCATGCCCAGCCTGTAACTTAAAATCTTAAAATTATTTTTTATGCTATTTGGATGTCTGAGTCATTTCTAATTAAGAAAAAGTTATGATATGGGGAAACATATTTCTAAAGGTTGTGAAATGGTTCTCATCTACCAAATGTTAATATCTGAAAGGCAGCTCAGAATTTCTTGCTTCCTAGGTTTTCATTAAAATTTAAAGTTACTAAGGATAAGAATTATAGTTAATATATAATTCAGTGTATAACATGTGCCAAAGAAGATGTGTTCTTTGTGAGAAAAAGAATAGTTTTGCCTAATTCAGAGGGTATCTAAAGGTTAATTAGAATTACGGACTTGAAAAGGTTATTTATGAAACAAGATAGAAAGGAACAAGTAAGTAGGGGAGAGGGATATAAAGAAAGTTAAGGACATGAAGATATATTTTTGGTAGGGAAGGTTATAAAGAAAAAAAAGATCATGCCTGTAATCCCAGCCCTTCGGAAGGCGAAGGCGGGCAAATCACGAGGTCAGGAGATTGAGACCATCCTGGCTAATATGGTGAAACCCCATCTCTACTAAAAACAAAAAATTAGCCAGGCGTGGTTGCAGATGCCTGTAGTCCCAGCTACTCAGGAGGCTGAGGCAGTAGAATGGCCTGAACCTGGGAGGCAGAGCTTGCAGTGAGCCAAGATCATGCCACGGCACTCCAGCCTGGGTGACAGAGTGAGACTCTGTCTCAAAAAAAAGAAAAAAGAAAATAAAGAATTTTGTATGACAAAGGATCGTGTATGGTGAATTTTTGTCCCAAAATAAAATGACTGCTTATTTTAAAAAGAAAAGAAAAGTTAGTACAAAACAGAAAGCCCAAGCATGTCATAGATGGTCCATGTAAGTCATATGTAGCTTTTTCCTGTTTCTCTATATGACTACCCTTCATGCACACACAGAGAAAATAAAGATGAAACAGTTTAGATAGTAAAATATTCTTTAAAACCTGAGAGAAAATTAGAGAAATTTGGCTAGTTAACATTGCTCATAATTAAAGCTCTTGGTCTTGATGAAGGTAAATTAATACATTTTGTAATGAAATACAATGGCAGTTAAGCATGAAGCCAAACTGTATCTAGAAACTAATCTTGGAATTATGTGATGATACTCTTTTAAATAGCTAACAATAAATTAGTTGTTTGTTTGTTCTTACTTTGTTCCTGTTTTGTTATAAAATATTTAAGTGAAAGAAGATTAACATGGAGCCAAATTTAACATAAATGCTTCCATTGCTTTATTTCACACTGTATTTGGCCTTCTGCATAGATGCTACCAGCACTAAGTACTTACTGATCATACACCTAAAGTGAATTTCTTAATTGTACAGAAAGTATAGTGTTTTTGGTGGACTTAAAAACATCAATTTGTGTACCAGGAACAAAATATACATCATGTGAATTTTTTAGATTCTGAGTAACACTGTGGCCTCCAAGGTAAACTGAGCAGAAGAGAAATTTGGACTTGGTTTCCTGTTCTTTGTTTTTGCTTTTAATTTTCAATTATTTGCTGTTTGTTCTCCTTTGGGTTTTACTTTCATATACATGTATATAAAATGATTGATATTTTTTCATTTCTAATGGAAGGCTTTTATTTGGTTCCATGAATAGTCATTTTGTTTCCTACACATTTCCAGCAATTAATCATCTATTTTATTTATCTAAAATTTCTAACCTATATTTGTCAAGCAAGCAAAAATTGATAGAGGACACCAGCCATTTAAAACTTGTTGCTATTGCTTACCTCTGATGATCTAGAGAGACACAAGAGCTTTAAGGTTCCTGGTTTTAAAAAAAATGAACTATTTTTACAAGTTTTAAGCAGAAACAGTACATTATTTATTTTGTTATTTGAAAAGATTGGTGATAATTAAAATGTTTAAATGGTGTTTATTTCCAAGGTAATTCAATCAATCAATAATTTGAGTTGGTTTCAGATATAATCCTTTAAGTAATGAGGAAAAACTATAAAATGGGTACAAAGTTTTAATGTTCAGGAAAGATTGGCCTTGTCCTTAAGGAAGTTATATTGATTGAAATTTCTCTGAAATTAACTTAGGTGTGTTAGTCATTATTAAAATTAAGTGACATTCACTTGGATTAAGTAGTAATAAAAAGTATGTGATTCTGTCTAGTGATTTTTGATCCCAAGCAGTTTATCACTGATGAGCCTTCATGTGCATACTTGAAAACCAAAGAAATACAAGTGTTGCACTAGTTTGAAGATTTCAGCAGAGAGTTCTCTAATAAGTTGTCAGTGCTGTATCTAGAAACTAATCTTGGAATTATGTAATGCTATTTTAAATAGCTGAAAATAAATTAATTCTTTGCTTGTTCTTACTTTATCTCAGTTTCATTATAAAATATTTAAGTGAAAGGAAATTATTTGTCTTCATATTGCATTTCCAAAACTAATATTTGCATTTACTATGTTTTTAATGATGGAGAAACAAGTTAGTTGTCTTGCTTTGATAAGTTTAACATAGGACCTGTCACACTTTTGATGCTTTTAGTCACAGCTCTGTCACTAGAGTATCAGCAATTAGACATGTGTAGTGAGTAACTTAACTACTTTAATACAGTGGTTTGAAGTGCTGCAAGCAATAACTCCTGAGCACCAAATCACAGTGTTTTTATTTCTGACATGTTAGAGAGAATGATAGGACTTTCTGTAATATAAATATCCTATTAACTAATCCCTGTACTGTTAAGTTGCAGGGCTTTGACCACTGGGTCTGAAAAAAGGCACTGATCCCTGCTAAATCTTGAGTATTGACACAAAAGCAGAAATGAAATAAAATAACAACTATTCAATCCCTCTAGGCCCAGGGACTATCACAGAAGAGGTGGGCACATGAGACCGCAAGAGCTGAATTTGAGGGATAAGATTAGCTCAGAGTGTTTCTATAAACTAAACATTAATATCAAAAGCACACTAATGCAAGGCCAGCAACTGGACCTCTATGTCTAAATAACATGGTTTTCTTGGAGCATTAATCTGCTCTTTAGTAGAAAACTGTAAAAAGTTACAAAAAGTTCATGGAAATCTTACCTTGTGATCAAACTGATTAAAGTTAGATAGATTTGTTTATAAAGTTTTATTAAAATTAGTTTTGACATTAATAATACAACATACAAAGGTAAAATTTGGTTTTCTCTTTTGAACAAAATTTTCATGTAAGAGATAATAAGAGATTTCTATTTACCTTTTGAGTAAAACTGTAGAAGAAAAAAAGAAGGAGTGGGGAAGACAGATTTAGCTGGTGCTGTGCAGTTTTTATCAGGTTTTATTGTTAAGGAAATTGAGTCTCCTCTCTATCAAAAAGTAAACATTTTTGTATTATGATTTTGGCTAAATGAATGACTATTTTTTAGTAACTTGTGAACTTATTTTGTGATCTCAAGTGTCTTAAATCTTTGATTTTTGACAGACTTTCCAGCAGAAAAATTTCAAGTTCTAGATCAGTATTTTAACCTCGAGATAACCTTTTTAAAATATTGGGTATCCTGAATTCCAAAAGAGACATATTAGATTTATTTGGTATGTTAGAATTATACAGGAAGCATTGTCAAATGTGAGGTGGTATTTAACTTTTTGGGGGTTATATTTCTATAGATGTGTTGTTAATATGTGTTCTAGGAATGTAGGAGAGTCCTAAAATTCTGATATGTCCTAATACATATTGTAATAATTATGATTATTATGTTAAATTGTTGTATGACACAGAAATAAGCAAATTTCCTTGTCAATTGTGTGGTTATGACTGTCTTAAGACAGTTGTTGTTTTGCTTTGATTCTTGTTGTGAGAAGACAGGGACCCCGAACGGAGGGACTGGCTGAAGCCGTGGCAGAAGAACATAAATTGTGAAGATTTCATGGACATTTATCAGTTCCCAAAATTAATACTTTTATAATTTCTTATGCCTGTCTTTACTGCAATCTCTGAACATAAATTGTGAAGATTTCATGGACATTTATCACTTCCCCAATTAATACTCTTATAATTTCTTATGCCTGTCTTACTTTAATCTCTTAATCCTGTCATCTTTGTAAGCTGAGGATGTATGTCACCTCAAGACCCTGTGATGATTGCATTAACTGCACAAATTGTTTGTAAAACATGTATTTGAACAATATGAAATCAGTGCACCCTGAAAAAGAACAGAATAACAGCAATTTTCAGGGAACAAGGAAAGATAACCATAAGGTCTGACTGCCTGCGGGGTCGGGCAGAATACAGCCATATTTTTCTTCTCTCAGAAAACCTATAGATGGATGTGTGAGTAGGAGAAATATCGCTGAATTCTTTTCCCAGCAAGGAACAGCCCTGGGGAAGGAATGCACTCCCGGGGGTAGGTCTATACACGGCCGCTCTGGGAGTGGTCTGTCTTGCGCAGTTGAGATAAGGACTGAAATATGCCCTGGTCTCCTGCAGTGCCCTCAGGCTTACTAGGATTGGGAAATTCCATCCTGGTAAATTCTAGTCAGACTGGCTGTCTTCTCTTGAACCCTGTTTCCTGTTAAGATATTTATCAAGATAATGTGTGCACAGTGGGACACAGACCCTCATCAGTAACTCTAATTTTGCCTTGCCTTGTGATCTTTATTGCCCTTTGAAGCATGTGATCCTTGTGACCTACTCCCTGTTCATACAACCCCTCCCCTTTTAAAATCCCAAATAAAAACCTGCTGGTTTTGTGGCTTGAGGTCGCCATCATGGTCCTACCAATATGTGATGACACCCCTGGATGCTCAGCTGTAAAATTTCTCTCTTTGTACTCTTTCTCTTTATTTCTCAGACTGGCCAACACTTAGGGAAAATAGAAAGAACCTATGTTGAAATATTGGGGGATGGTTCCCCCAATAATTCTTCTCAAGGTGACTTATAATCAGCTACAGCCCAGGGCTTACTTCTTTTAAGGAGTTCATGAAAAGGACTTTTGAACACTGGTTTCTTATAACTTTATAGATTATGCCATTGGATTAGAGAGAAAACTTCCGGGACTCTAATTAAAAGGCTAATGTGTTCATAAGGATTGCTAACCCAACATGAAGCAGAGCAGCAGTTGATTTTATGGATTAAACTGATGGAGAACTAAAATCATTTTAATGGCTTTGTTGTTATTGTTGTTGTTTGAACCACTGCTGACTCTTCAGACTCTGGAGAACTGTTTTCCTGCTGAGCTATTTACAACCTTTAATGCTTGAGTAGAGTATACTCTTGTAAACAGAATTTGGGACATATTTCTCTCTCTCTGCCTAATTTATCCAGAATTTGTAAACTGTTTGTGAATATTCTTAATTCATGGCAATGTTTTTGGCTGTAAGAGTTCAGTAAGAATCCGTTTTTGTTTTGTTTTGTTTTGTTAAACAATGGGACACAATTGGAGGAACGTATTTTCCCAGGGCTTTGACTGAAATGGCCTTGTGAGAGGCTACAGAAAAGCCAATTTAAGAGAGCCTATATAGACAATGATTCTTGCTGCACATTGTGTGGGTAATCAGGCCAAGTATATGAGATGGAAGCTTACTTTGCAGGAGGATTGGTCCTGCTGTAATTTGACTTTAATGGAAGTAGGAGACTGGAAAGAGAAAGATTGTGTTTCAGGAGAAAACTGGGATGAGATTAACTTTTGATTCCTGAGTGGCCGCATGGTTACTCGTGGTATGGAGCTGCTCACAACACCCCTCCTCAGCATGAAGCAGCCAAAAAGATCAACAGCCAGATTCTCCATGATTGAGAAATTAATAGAAATGGGGGACTCAAACCTCTATGAATCCCATAGAGCTGGTGTTTATGGTTTCTTTGAATAAACATAGAAACTGATCCTCCCAGTCTTAAAACTGAAGAAAATTACAGTTGTCTTATCTGAGTTCCTCGCTCAGAAAATCAACCATCAGTCCTCCCAGATAGTATCAGACCACTGCATTTGGACAATGAGAGGGCAGATCCCTTACCCATCATGATTGTCTAACCAACCACCTACTTCCTATTAACCAACTCCTCTTCCTTACCCATTCCTAGTTCCTGTTTTCCCACACATGGTTACAATTCTTCCTTGCTATACGAACCACTAATTTTAGTCCATCAAGGAGACAGATTTGAGACTGAGCTCCCTTCTTGGCTGCAGCACCCTATTAAAGCCTCCTTCTCCAACAATACTCATCATCTCAGTGATTGGCTTTCTGTTCAGCAAGCAGCGTAGGACCTAGGCCAAACCCTTGGTATTTCAGTAACACTATAACTAGCTTCTCATCAGTTCAGGTCAGACTTTTCCAATAAATAAGTATAGGTCTGGTCAAGTTTTTCTACCAAATGAGTATCAAAAATCTTTTGATTTTCAAAGATTTGGGTACTAATTGTGGTAAAAAGATCACATACCTGTATTATCTCCTTTCTACAGGTAGGGAGCTAAGGTGTATGAAATTAAGTAACTTGCTTAATACTATATGGTGAGATAGAAGTTAGAGTCAAGATTTTCCAATTCAATAGAGGTTCCTTTTCATTATGTGATACACCTTTCTATTTTTTCTCCAACATCATCATTCATTCGGTTCTTCATTAAAAATTATTAACTGAACATAAGCAATATGGAAGGCTTTATGCTCCATGGCATATACTCTAGGGAGTGTCTTAAGGCCATGATTATAATCAAGGGTATGTATATTATGGTTGCTACAAAGCCACAGTAAAAATATGAAACATACGTCCATAGAAAGACATGTGTGTGAGTGTTTAAGGAAGCTTTACTTATAATATCCCCAAATTACAACCTAAATGTGTACCAACAGATGAATGGATACACAAAATGTGATATATTTATATAATGAAATAATACTAAACAATAAAAAGGAATGAATATACCAGCTATAACATTAATGAATCTCAAAATTATTATGCTGAGTGGAAAAAAGACAGAAAAGAGCAATACTGCCTGATTCCATTTATATAAAACTCTATAAATAGAAACTAATACATACTGATAGAAAGCAGATCAGTGGTTGCTTGCAGGGAGGGGTACAGAGAAGGGTAAAAGGGAAAACTTTCGAAGGGGTACAAATAAACTTTTGAGGGTGATGAGTATGTTCATTATCTTGATTGTGATGATTTCATGGATGCCTACATATGTAAAATTTATAAAATGATACACTATTAATAAATGCAGCTAATTGTTTATAAACTGTATGCCAACAAAGCTGTTTTTAAAATATGGACCATCTTCCTGGAGTTAAGAGTTTTACCAGGAAGCTTGAAAGGAAAAAATAAAAATTTAACTAGACTTTAAATATATTAAAACAATAGGAATACTATATGTATAAAGTAAAATTAAATCACTTCGTAATAGGAAAGCTCTAGATACCAAAATTTATGCTTATAGTAGGCGAGGTCTAGCTAACTCTTTAAGATACCTCAGGACCTGTTTATTTTCACTCTTCTCTCAAGTTAGCAGACTTTAGTGGTAAGGTTTGAATTTCTGCCAAGGGGTTTACAAGGTCACATAAAAGATGTAAAAAGTACCTCAATACTTATAACATATCACTGACTTTAAGTTTCCTGTGCTTTTATTTCAGTCATTCCATCTTTAACAACATTGGCTTCTTGCATTTCTCTATTTCTAATTCTAGGAGCACTCATTATTTATAATCAAAGGAAAAAAGAGGAATACTCCTTATGCTACCATAATTGTAGTGTCCTGTGATATGAGGAGAGTGAGCCCTGCTACATAAATGCCCATATTTTATCTCTGGTACTTTTTCCTAAAGAGTCACAGAATAAATGAAAGGCAAATCTTAAAACATCCAACAATTCTGATGCTTTGGAGTCTGTAATAGTCCACTGACCCATCTGAATAATCAGAAACATGGTAATTTATCACAGCTATTTCTGGTTTTTTCAGATATTGTATATCAAGAATGTATAACCTTCTCAAAGAAAAGACTACCATGATTCTACGCAGTCCTATATTTTCTAAAAGCAAAATTTAAAAATTCAGATGAAACCTATAATAGTTGGAGTGAAAAAGAACACCACTGCAGAACATGGTGTATATTAGTACACAAACAATAAAAAAGAAAATTCTGAAGGGATTCGCAAACATCTTTCAGTTGTCAAGTGAAGTAGAAGAGCAGCTGAGTGGAGAAGACAGCAAGAGGCTACAGGTCATTTCAAAATGTTTCAGGTTGAGGTCCAGGTTAGTCCATCTCGGACTAGGGTCTAGATCCAGGTTAGCATATTTCAAGTACTAAATAGACTTTTTATTGCTTAATATTATTTCATTATATGGATATATCACATTTTGTGTATCCATTCACCTGTCAACAGACATTTGGCTAGTAATATTGTGATATTGTAGATAAGGCTTCTATGAGCGCTCTGCACAAGTCTTTCTGTGGGTTTATGTTCCATGTTTACAATGCAGCTTTGCAGCAACCATAGTACATATATACTTGATTAGAAAGATGGCCTTAAGATGCTCCCCAGAGTATACTCCATAGAACATACAGCCTTCCATGTCTATGTTCTGTTAATAATTTTTTAATGATCATAAAGCCGTACGAGGTGATCTTGAACAAATATTTGAGAAATGGCGAAGAAAATTGGAAGAGAAAGTTCTGATATTCTAAACAAGAGAACAAATACATTGCAGAAACTATGAAAAAGTAAGAATAATGTTAATTCCCAGGAAAAATACTAGATCCAAGTGTAAAAGGTTGCAGAACATTATGTCAAGTTGAATCTCATTTTATGATTTATAAATCTTATTTTATACAAAGATTTAAAAACCTTTATTAATATTTATGCAATGAGATTCAATTTGACATTATGTATAAGATAATGTAAAAGATATATGTGTGTATTTTACATGCATAATATATGTACTTATAAATGCATAGAAAAACTTCTAGTCTACATAAAAACTCTGTAGTGTCTTCTCTACACAAACTGGGGAATCTAGAGGAATTACATTTGTGACCCATAAGAAAAAAAAACTTACTAAAATATAGCATGTGCTCATTAAAATTTCTGTCTAAAATAATCTGTTTCCTATCATACTAAGTAGGACAAGGCAATGTATCTTTAATTCATTCCAATTCAAAAAAAAATTCAACAAATGAAATGGTGTCTTGTCACACCCTGGTAGATGAAGTAAGAATTTGTGAGGGCTCTTCCTTGGACCACATCAATTGCAAACGAGATCTCTGCAAGTTTTTCACAAGGCTTTGCACTGGGAGAAAGCAGCACACTTAAAGACACAGATAAAGTCAGAGAATTATAAACAGTCAGATAAAGGTTCTGAAACTGTTCCGAAGATGAATAGTTGCAAAACTGAGAATGTTCTACATGAAGAGAAAAATATTTAGATGAGCCTTTTTAAAAGTATTTCAATGTAAGTTATACTACAAAGGCAAATACTTATTTTTGCGGTGGTGGTTCTTCCAGAGGGCAGAAACAGAAACAGTGGTTAAAATTTAGAATAAGGCTGATTTGGTTAGATATATTAAAAATTTATAACAAGTATAAATGTTCCAGCAATGAATTTTCTTGCTTCAAAAAGTATCATATTACTTACCTGACAATATCTTTTGAAATTCAAATTAGCATGCCTTTTGACAAAGAATTTTTACTTCAAGGACTTTATCTTCAAGCTATCGCACACATATTTTCAAATACATGTGTACCAACATGTTGGTTGCAGCATTGTTTATAAAAGCCATCTAGAAATCAGCAATCCAGAGAAGACCTACAGACCCTCTGAAGGAAGTGGACTACTCCTGAAGGACCCAGGAGACCCCCCAAAACTCTAAGTGCCCCAACTGCAGAAGTGGGAAAGGGAGACCCTCCTCTCCCAAACACACACCCCCACTGGAGACGCTGAAGGTCTGTTTGCAGGAGAAGTTTATGACCTTACCTGGAGCTGAGTCCATTTGGAGAGCCGAGTGAAATACAGGGGTACAGAAAGCAGCAGAAAGGCCCTGGGAGCTCGCGGGGTCCTGTAGCAGGCCATTCCTGCCTGGCAATACAGGGATCCAACGGGAGAGGAGCAGGGGGTAAAACTACACAGGGAGAAGCAAATCTCTAACTGAACTTCGTAACAATTTGAACAGGTGAGAAGCCTTCTGGCCAGCACTCGGGGGAGGATGTAAATCCGGTGTGCAGACTCCTTAGGCAGGGAAAGAACCAAGCCCTTTTCTTTCACAGCTGGGAGGCAGATAGCCTGGGGTATGTTTTCAAGCCTGTATCGCTCTCCAGCTGGAAATGGTCTGGGGGCTATTGATGGGGCACAATGGGAGTGAGACCGGCCCTTCAGATTGCGTGGGAACTGGGTGAGGCCTGTGACTGCCGACTTTCCTCAACTTTCCTGACAACCTGCATGACTCAGCAGAGGCAGCAATCATCCTCCTAGATACACAACTCCAATGACCTGGGAATCTCACCCCCATCCCTCCCAGCAGCCGCGGCAAGACCTGCCCAAGGAGAGGCTGAACTCAGACACACCTAGCCCCGCCCTCACCTGATAGTCCTTCCCTACCCACCCTGGTAGTGGAAGACAAAGGGCATATAATCTGGGAGTTCTAGGGCCCTGGCCACTGCCAGTTCCTCCCCATAATATCACAGCTGATACTCTCTGGAAAGTGCCACCTTCTGGCAGGAGGCCAACCAACACAAAAATAGAATATTAAACCACCAAAGCTAAGAACCCTCATGGAGTCCATTGCACACCCCCCACCATCTACACCAGAATGGGCACCGGTATCCATGGCTGAGAGACCCATAGAGGTTAACATCCCAGGACTCTGTGCAGACAACCCCAATATCACCCCAGAGCTGGGTAGACTCGCTGGGTAGCTAGACCCAGAAGAGAGACAACAATCACTGCAGTTCGGCTCACAGGAAGCCACATCCACAGGAAAAGAGGGAAAGTATTACATCAAGGGAACACTCTGAGGGACAAAAGATTCCAAACAACAGCCTTCAACCCTAGACCTTCCCTCTGACAGAGCCTACCCAAATGAGAAGGAACCAGAAACCAACCCTGGTAATATAACAAAACAAAGCTCTTCAACACGCCCCCGCAAAATCATACTAGTTCACCAGCAAAGAATCCACACTAAGAGGATATCCCTGATTTATCCAAAGATAAGACGAAGGACAGAATCTTAAGAGCTGTGAGGCAGAAGCACCAAGTAACCTGTAAAGGAACACCTATCAGATTAACGGCAGATTGCTCAGCAGAAACCCTACGATCTAGAAGGGATTGGGGCCCTATTTTCAGCCTCCTCAAACAAAACAATTATCAGCCAAGAATTTTGTATGCAGCAAAACTAAGCATCATATATCAAGGAAAGATACAACTGTTTTCAGACAAACAAATGCTGAGAGAATTTGCCCTTACCAAGCCACCACTGTAAGTACTGCTAAAAGGAGCTCTAAATCTTGAAACAAGTCCTGGAAACACATCAAAACAGAACCTCTTTAAAGCATAAATCACACAGGACCTATTAAACAAAAATACAAGTTAAAAAGCAAAAACAAAAAACAAAAACCCAAAGTACACGGGCAACAAAGAGCACGATGAATGCAACGGTACCTCACATTTCAATACTAACATTGAATGCAAATGGCCTAAATGCTCTGCTTAAGAGATACAGAACCTCAGAATGGATAAGAACTCACTAGCAAAAGATCCACACCAAGAAGCATGATAATAAGTCAATAAATGTGATACACCACAGAAAGAGAATTAAAAACAAAGATCACATGATCATCTCAATAGATTCAAAAATGTATTCAACAAAATCCAGCATCCTTTATGATTAAAACTCTCAACAAAATCGGCATACAAGGGACATATCTTAATGTAATAAAATCCATCTATGGCAAACCAACATCCAACATAATGCTGAATGGGGAAGGGTTGAAAGCATTCCCTCTAAGAACTGGAACAAGGTAAGGATGCCCACTCTCACCACTCCTCTTCAATGCAGTACTGGAAGTCCTAGCCAGAGCAATCAGACAAGGGAAAGAAATAAAGGACATCCAAATCAGTAAAGAGGAAGTCAAACTGTCACTGTTTGCTGATGATATAACCGTTTTCCTTGAAAACCCTAAGGACTCTTCCAGGAAGCTCCTAGAGCTGATAGAAGAATTCAGCAAAGTTTTGAGGTACAAAATTAATGTACACGAATCTGTAGCTCTTCTATACACCAACAGTGACCAAGCAGAGAATCAAATCAAGAACTCAACCCCTTTTACAATAGCTGCAAAAAGTAAAATAAAATAAAATAAAATAAAATAAAATAAAATAAAATACTTAGAAATATACCTTTGGATGCAGTCCAAAGACCTCTACAAGAAAAACTATGAAACACTGCTAAAAGAAATAATAGACAACGTAAACTAATGGAAACACATCCCATGCTCATGAATGGATAGAATTAATATTGTGAAAATGAACATACTGCCAAAAGAAATGTACAAATTCCATGCAATCCCCATCAAAATACCACCATCATTCTTCACAGAATTATAAAAAAAAATTCTAAAATTCATATAGAACCAATAAAAAGCCTGCATAGCCAAAGCAAGACTAAGCAAAAAGAGAAAATCTGGAGGCATCACACTACCTGATTTCAAACTATGCTATAAGGCCATAGTCACCAAAACAGCATGGTATTGGTATAAAAATAGGCACATAGACCAATGGAACAGAATAGAAAACCCAGAAATACACCCAAGTACTTACAGCCACCTGATCTTTGACAAGGCAAACAAAAACATAAAGTGGGAAAAGGACACTCTTTTCAACAAATGGTGATGGGATAATTGGCTAGCCACATGTAGGAGAATGAAACTGAATCCTCATTTCTCGCCTTATACAAAAATGAACTCAAGGTGGATTAAGGACTTAAACCTAATACCTGAAACTATAAAAATTCTAGAAGATAACATTGAAAAAACCCTTCTAGACATTGGCTTAGGCAAGGATTTCATGACCAAGAACACTTGCAAAAGCAAATGTAGTAAAAACAAAGATAAATATCTGGGACCTGACTAAACTAAAGAGCTTTTGCATGGCAAAAGGAACAGTCAGCAGAGTATATAGACAATCCACAGAGTGGGAGAAAATCTTCACAATCTATACATCTGACAAAAGACTAATATCCAGAATCTACAATGAACTCAAACAAATTAACGAGAAAAAAACAAATAATCTCATCAAAAATTGGGCTAAGGACATGAATAGACAATTCTCAGAAAGAAGATATACAAATGACCAACAAACATTTGAAATAATGCTCAGCATCACTAATGATCAGGGAAATGTAAATCAAAACCACAATGCGACACCACCTGCAAGAATGGCCATAGTCAAAAAATCAAAAAATAGTAGATTTTGGAATGGATGTGGTGAACAGGGAACACTTCTACTCTGCTGGTGGGAATGTAAACTAGTACAGCCACTGAGGAAAATAGTGTGGCGATTCCTTAAAGAACTAAAAGTAGAACTACCATTTGATCCAGGAACCCCACTACTGAGTACCTACTCAGAGGAAAAGAAGTCATTATTTGAAAAAGATACTTGCACATGCATGTATATAACAGCACAATTCACAATTGCAAAATCATGGAACCAACCCAAATGCTGGTCAATCAATGAGTGGATAAAGAAACAGTGGCGTGTATATATATGTGTGTGTGTGTGTGTGTGTGTGTGTGTGTGTGTGTGTGTGTGTAATGGAATACTATGCAGCCACAAAAAGGAATGAATTAATAGCATTTGCAGCGACCTGGTTGAGTTGGAGACTATTATTCTAAGTGAAGTAACTCAGGAATGGAAAAGCAAAGGTCATATATTCTTACTGATGTGTGAGAGCTAAGCTATGAGGACACAAAGGCATAAGAATGATACAATGGACTTTGGGGACTTGGGGAGAAGAGTGGGAGTGGGACAAGGGATAAAAGACTGCAAATATGGTGCAGTGTATACCGCTCGGGTGATGGGTGCACCAAAATCTCACAAATCACCACTAAAGAACTTACTAATGTAACCAAATACACCGGTACCTCAATAACTTATGGAAAAAAAGAGCCATCTAACTAAATTATAGAAAACATCCCCAAAAAGTTATGGTAAGTAGCAGCTACAAAGAATAAGGAAGATCTACATGACAAGCTATTCATCAAGTGGAAAAGGTTGCAGAACATTATGTCAAGTTGAATCTCATTTGTATAAGATGTAAAAGATATATGTGTGTATTATATATAATATACATATAAAAGATATATGTGTGTATTATATGTATAATACACACATGTGTATGTACATATGTACGTATGTACCTGTAAATGCGTAGAAAAATTATCTGCATAAAAATTCCCCGTAGTGATTTTTCCACATGAACTGAGGAATCTAGAGGAATTACTTTATCTTTGTATTGGTATTATTCTGTTTTTAAACATGAATTATAGCCTTTTTAATCTATAAACTAATTTAAAAGTTGTTGCATTTGTTATTAGAAGGATTTTCTAATTATCTAATAATTACATGCAATTATATCTATATTATCTATTATACTAAAGCTATAGTATCTGTAATTATGATATCTAATCTAATTATTAACTGCTATCAGTGACATAGTATTTCAGAGAATCTGTTTTGCCATCAGAACTAGAATCTTAGTTCTACAGCTTTCTAAATGTGAACTGTTGCTGGAAACTTATCTCTAAGCTATGAATTCCTTATCTGTAATGTGAGGATAAGTTATGAATTAAAATGAGGCTCAAATGAGATACAACTGAGAAGAGATTTCTCTATCATATGTAATTCTTGGAACAAGAATTTGTTAATTATATTAAGCTTAAACAAGATTACTATAACACAGTAGAGGCAAGGAGGAATATATATATATTTTTTTAATTCTCCAAGCTTCCCCCTTCAAGGCTTGAAATTTACCTTTATTGTCTTAAAGTCATAATAAATTATTTAAATTTTCTAAATTGAACAAAGACTTTTCTTGCTATGTTTTGTTCAGTTTGACCAAGCAGTTTCAAATTTTAATGTGAATAAAAATTATTTTATACAGTTGACTCTTACACAACACGGGTTTGAACTGAATGGGCAGTTCAAATCCCGCTTATGGCGGATTTTTTTTCAATAAGTGCAGTCAGGCCTCCACATTGTCAGGTTCCACATTGGCAACAAAATGCAGGTGGGAAGTGCAGTATTCTCGAGATGTGAAACTCACGTATAAGGAATGATGACTTTTTGTATCCATGGGCTCTGCAGCGCCAGCTACAGCATTTGATTATGCTAAGACTTTGGTTATTAGTGAGGGTCCTGGAAGCAATCCCTCACAGATATGGAGATATTTTTCAAAGGCAATTTTAACAAGGCATATTTTTAATATGCCAGTTTAAAAACTTACTACATGTATCTATAGGTCATTGGTTGAATTATAGCCCCCAAAAGATATGTCTACCTAAAACCTCAGAAAGTGACCTAATTTAGAATGAAGGTCTTTACAGATAAGGTAAGTTAAGGTAAGGTGAGGATGGATGTTGAGATAAGATTATGTGGATTAGAAAGATTATCTGTCATTGTCATCCAAGAGAAAGTGTCCTTATAAGAAACAGAAGAGAAAAGGACACAGAGACATGGAGAAGGCCATGTGAAGATGGAGGCAGAGACTGGAGTTATTCTGTCACAAATCAAGAGAGTCAGGCACCAGCAGAAACTGGAAGAGGGATAGAAGGACTTTCCCCTACAGCCTTGGGAGGGAGCCCTGCTGACACCTTGATTTCAGACGTGTTGCCTCCAGAACTGTGAAAGAATAAATTTTTATTGTTTTAAGCCACTAAGTGTTTTGTAATTTGTTATAACAGCCCTGGGAAGCTAATAAAATATGTAATGATCATATCGGTTATTGTCCTAACCAGGTCACTTCTGAGAATGAAAGGGAGCACTATGATTAAGTATACCAGTACAATCAAGATAAATAGAATTGTTCTTGAAAAACAGAACACATGGTCACTCAATCCATAAAACATGAGACTGCATCGTAATGCATGCAAAATGGTTAGCAGAGTGGCTCTAATAGAGTATGCCCTCAATTTAAAAAGTAACTTTTATTATAATTATATATAATTATATTATAAAAGGAACTGGGGCTCTGGAATTGTGGACGATCTGATTAGGGTTACAGGATGGAGGTAGTGCAAAGGAGAGGCAAGAAAATGAAGATGAGAGAAAAGAGAAATCATTGGCCAAAGGAAGATCTCTGTCAGACTAGTAGTAGTCAGGCAATTGCTAAGAATTCTGATTGCCACAGCTGCTCTCTGCCTAGACTGTCTTAGCCAAAAATCATGAATAATGTTCAAATTCTATCTCAGTTGAATAACTTGGAAACTCTGTCCTAATCTACTATTGAGTTGTAAAAGGAATCATCAGAATTTGAAAGAGTAGATGAGAAAATACCCATAAGTGTATTTAGAGACTAGATTCCTAGAAGAAATTTTCTTTTTCCTTTTTTTCTTTTTTAATGGAGACAGGGTCTTGCTCAGTGTTCTGTCACCCAGCCTGGAGTGCAGTGTCACCTTCACAGCTCACTGCAGCCTTGACTTTCGGGACTCAATCTATCCTCCTACCTCAGCCTCCTGAGTAGCTGGGACTACAGGCATGTGCCACCATGCCTGGCTAATTTTTGTAATTTTTGTAGATATGAGGTTTCACCGTTGTCCAGGCTGGCTTGTCTAGAACTCTGGGGCTCAACCAGTCTGCCCCCATTGGCCCCTCAAAGTGCTGGGATGGAAGGCGTGAGCCACCATGCCTAACCTAAATTCCTAGGATAACTTCTTCTAATTCAACTACCCAACAAGAAAAACTTAGTGTGAGAACTCAAAGAGACATTGGCCTAGCCAGTCGAATTCTCTATTTTAAAATTGGAAGTGACTGGGCACGGTGGCTCACGCCTGTCATCCCAGCACTTTGGGAGGCGGAGGCAGGCGGATCACGAGGTTAAGAGATCAAAACCATCCTGACTAACATGGTGAAACCCTGTCTCTACTAAAAATACAAAAATGAGCAGGCGTGGTGGTGTGTGCCTGTAGTCCCAGCTACTTGGGAAACTGAGAGGGGAGAAACACTTGAACCTGGGAGGCGGAGGTTGCAGTGAGCTGAGATCGCGCCACTGCACTGCAGCCTGGCAACAGAGCAAGACACCATCTCAAAACAAACAAACAAACAAACAAACAAACAAACAAAAAAACTGGAAGCCAGCAGCATTCTGGATATCATGTAAAACCATATCATGTAAGAATGATTTCTCCTATTTTACTATACATTTCTGCTTTCAGGAAGAATTAGAGTCTTTTAAAAGATACAAGTAGAGTAAAATTTTTAAAATAGATATTAAAAATTAAAATGTTATTAAGTAAACCAGAAAGAAATCTAGGATAATATAGGTACTGTAAGCATTACATTTATCTCTGAATAGCTAGTCATCAGGATGAAATAAAAGCATATCTGACACACACAAAAAAATTGCAATTAATCAAGTGATTATAAGTAAGCAATTTATCCCAAGATTATTTTTTGACATTTGTACAACATAACAACCACAATGTGTAAAATATCTTTAACAATCAATTTACAGTTAATACATTCTTTATATTAATATTTCTTACCACACAACTGTAATCGTCACATTGTTCTTTGAATGCTTTATAGAGAAAAAGTATATAGGTTGGGTCCAAATATGTCTCTGCTAACATATGTCTGTAAAGATAAAATTGTAGAGGTATGAACATACTTTGAGAATAATAGTAGTTATTACCATTGGAATATAATTCCCAATTTCCTTCCTTCTAGCACAGTTATGTCAAAATACTGTTTGTGGTTTTAGCTCAGGATGGGAGTATATAGTTTTATAAATCTTAATGTCTCACTGCCTAAGATAAGAGAAGCTTTTTTTTTTCATTCATGAATAGCTATATATCTTTTTTTCTTGAATTGTCCAAGAGAAGAAAGGAGTAATTATTTTAGATCAAGAAGCGTTAATGAACTCTTTGGGCCAGGCGCAGTGACTCATACCTGTAATCCCAGCACTTTTGAGGCAAGTAGATTGCTTGAGTCCAGGAGTTTGAGACCAGCCTGCACAACATTGTGAAATCCCATCCATACAAAAAATACAAAAATTAGCTGGGTGTGGCTGCGTGTGTTTGTAGTCCCAACTACTCAGCTACTCTACTTGGGAGGCTGAGGTGGGAGGATCACTTGAGCCCAGGAGGCAGAGGTTGCAGGGAGCTAAAATCGCCCCTCTTCAATCTACCCTGGGCTACAGGGCAAGACCTTGTCTAAAAAAAAAAAAAAAGAAGAAGAACTCTGTGGAATGGCAAGTGAATCCTCCAGCTCCTAAACGTGGCAAACTGCTGGGATGATTCATAAAAAATCTCACTAGAAAAAAAAAAATGAGCTCATTCTGGAAACTGGAAGTGATGTTTTATCTTTATTTTTTTGAATAAATACTTAATTACCCACATCATAAGGAAGGAATGTTTTAATCAAAGATAATAGAATGCATTAAACAAATGCATTTCCTCTTCAGTTACTGTTTCTTTGGTTATGTTTTTTCTGTGTTTTAGAACATGCGGAGATTATTACAAAATGTACAAACAATTTCACATAAAATTGCTGCCCTTACTCACTCTGTCCACATTATAAAATTGGAATCTGTAGACATATAATTATATGCATGCTTTGTTTCAATTAGGTAAATATACAAATTTAAAGGACATATATTTGAAATAGATCTCATAAGGCAAAGAAATGTGAGTATATCAACAACAAATTGCAACTACTGCCATTGATCTTGATAAAAATTTAGATATCCAATAAGAAATTCAATATAAAGTGATTTCCTCAATTCTTAGCCAGTATGGATTAAATGTCAACCTTGTGAAGGAGAAAGAGACTAGTGAGATAAGGTTATGGTTTCTCATGGCCTACACATCCCTGTTTCATCCAGAATGCTATCAGTCTTACCCTGCCACTATGCTTAAAACCATTTATCGGCAGGTAATTGGAAGCAAGGAGGGAGCAGGAGGAGAGGGAAAACAAAAAGGTGTCAGATACAGATTCCAAAACTGATTTTAGTTTAAGATCCATGTATTGTACCTAAAGACAGGGACAGTAAACTATTGAAAGACTATCTAAAGTTCTAAACTATCTGTCAGAATAAAAGTTATATTAGAATGCAGTTTAAAATTTGGCTTCTTTTTGTTTACACACTCAGATATAACAATATTTTCAGCATGTTTCCTTTTCACTACATTACTAAGCTATGTAACAATTTCAAACAATGTTACTGTCTTGGAACCTATCACTACTTGGTAAAGAATACAACACAATGCATAGAACAACAATAACAAAGGCAATTATAATAACTAACATTTACTAAAAATGTTCTGTGTGTTAGGTCCTGTTCTAAGCAATTTTACATATAATAGCACATTTAATGCTCGTAATTACACAAAGAGGTAAGCATAATTAGTATCTCCATTTTATAGATGAAAAAAAATTGAAGTACAAAGAATTTAAATGATCAAGATCGCATGGCTAATTAGCAGAATAACCAAGGTTTGCACATAGAAATTTACCTTCGGGGCCCATGCTCTTAGGTAATCAATATATAATACATCAAAGTAAAATATAAAAATTTTAGAAGCCTATGTTTCTTGTTGTACTCACATTTCAAATATGGGCAACTGCCATAGCTTGAATTTGTAGTAATTAATTTACTGGCTATTTACCATGGGATAGGAATTGGCCTATGTAATTCACATGAGTATTCTCCCCACTTTACACACAGGGAAACTGAGATTCAGAAAGTTTAAATTCTTCAATTAAAGTCATACAGTGGTTAATTGAATATTTAAGCATTCAAAGATAGCCATTTCTGCCTTTCTGATATTGTCTCCCCTCTCATATTACAGTTTAAGCAATAAACTCTATAAAGGAATCATTACAGTTTACGTTGGTTACTGGTAATGGGTAACTGATAATTGGAGACTGGTAATTTTGAAATTAACCACAGGTAATGCATGTTTTATAATATGTTTATTGTTCTTTTTAGTAACTGAAAAGGATAGTTATTCTTTTTTTTTTTTTTTTTTTTGGAGACAGAATTTTGCTATTATTGCCCAGGCTGGAGTGCAGTGGCGTGATCTTGGTTCACTGCAACCTCCGCCTCCCGGATTCAAGTGATTCTCCTGCCTCAGCTTCTCGAGTAGCTGGGATTACAGGTGCCCGCCACCATGCCCGGCTAATTTTTGTACTTTTAATAGAGACAGGGTTTCACCATGTTGGCCAGGCTGGTCTTGAACTCCTGACCTCAGGTGATCCTCCCACCTTGGCCTCCCAAAGTGCTGGGATTACAGGAGTGAGCCACTACTGCCAGCCAGTTATTCTTAACCATTCTGTATCCCTCTTCCCCGCAGATCACTGCCACCTGACATTAGCCAAATCAGCAATCCTTCATGCAGAAAGGAAAGTACTGTGGGGAAGAAAAGAGCATTTCTTGTTGTACTCCGTTGATAGCTTTAAATTCAAAAGTAGCATAAAACTTAGGGTCTTGGAAGAATATCAGAAATTGATGGATCAGTACTCTGGCTGGCTTGTAGAAATTTGTTAACCTCTGCCAGAGAAGGCACCTGAAATCAGTAGTCAGTCCTGTGACCAACACTGCTACTTTGTTGGGTTTTTGAGATTTACAATAATTTCTCCCTATTATTCTATTTTCTGTAGATTATAACACTATCTGCCACCAGGTGGAGAAAGAGAGTCACAATTTCTTGTCTGTTTTTCAGGGCCCTAGGGTTAGAATTTTAAAAACTGAGAAAAAAAAAAATTGTTCATAAAACTATTGGGTTTCTTTATCATGAAAAATAAGCATTTATCAAGCCATCTGTTTTAGAAAGAAAAAAGCAAATATAAAGTTGCTTATATCTTCTCTCTTCAAAATTTGACCAGCCCCAACACTAAGCATAACTACCATTTTCAGACAAAGCAAAAATGATCTCAATCCTAGTTGCACATTACAATTGCCTGGGGAGCTTTATCAATGTCCGGGCCCCATTCCAGTCAAACAGGGTGAGAATTTCTTGGAAGGAGGCCCAGGCATCCATATTTTTAAAAAACTTCTCATGAAATTCTCATGTATAACCAGAGTTGAGGCTCACTACTCTACAGAGTTAGATGTTTTTCTAATGGAGCTGTAGATTGTTGAAAGGGGTTATTACCAGCAGCAGAGTCTGAATCTCGACACAGCAGATTTATAATAACTTAAATCAGGCTCCAGGAAACCGATTTATGCCAACAAAATCATAAAATTATAATTTATAAATTAGGGTGTCAATGTATTAATTTACTCTGAAGAAATGACTAACTATGCCACATTAATTATGTTGGGGAATTAAATTTTCCCCAAAGTAGACAGTCATTCATTTATTCACAATTTAGGAGTAACAAATATGCTGGAAGCTGGGCAAAAGAATTTAAGATCTAAATTCAGATCATTTGATGTATCTACAAACCTAACAGTGGTTAGTAAATAATCTTCAGTGACAGTGGTATCAACCTAGGCATGATAATATGTTGGGTTATTCTGTGGTAGTAAGATTTTATAGACAGAGATAGTGCCATCAGTCAGCCAAGCACCCTCCCCTCTGGGTAAAGCTAAAGAAACACTCATATTTTTAAAACTCACTCTTTCTTTTTCCCTGCTTCCTGAGCATCAAATGCACCTGTGATGGGTTAAAGGGTATAAAGGAGTTTATGTCATTTTTCAAAGAAAAAACACAGAAGGTGACACAGATCATTATGCCATGCGTGACTTTGACTCAGGATAGCTTGAGGTCTCAACAAATAACCAGCCAATAGGAAAAATTATAGGGCCAGAAAACAACAACAACAACAACAAAACCATGGGTGACAAAGGAAAGTAACCAGGCTACTTAGCAGCTTTGGTGACAGCAGCAAAGAAGTCCTAAGCAAGAGTTCCAACATGACAGCAGAATCAACTATGGCTCAGGTACCGGCATTTTAAAACGAGGATTTATGATACAAGTTGAAAAGACAGGTTAACAAGAGCAAAGCAAGATCCAAGGATGCTGGCTGCCAGTTGTTTCCAGACACCGCCTCGTTCTAGAGGAGTAGCTAGAACACAAGCAAAGCTACCAGGTAAGCTGGATGCTCTGTTAGGACCATTGGCTCTGGAGTCTGATTACCTTCTGTTCTACCCCATCTAACCTATGTATTTTGGAATAAATTTTCTTTAACATCTATTTTCTCTTCTGTGAAATGGGGAGATAATTATTCCTATTTCACAGGGATCCTCTGAGAATTAACAAAGACAGTCTAGGCAAATCACAGTGGTTCTTCTAAAAGTGTGATTCCCTAGACCAGCAGCATCAGCTTCAACTGGGAACTGCAAATTTCCCAACCTTACTCCAGACCTATTGAATCAGCAGCTCTGAAGGTAGGGCCCAGTAACCAGCCCTCCAGATTTAACAAGCCCTCCAGATTTAACAAGCCCTCCAGATTTTACTGATGTACATTCAAGTTTAAAGACAACTAATTGAAAAGGCAGTTAATCCTGAATAAATGGAAGCAAGCAGAATCCCTGTCCCATATACTGGACTAATAACAGGAAGAAAGTAGGGAATACTAAAGCTAAAGTGCTATACAGGAACATAGGGTACATCTGAGGCATACCAGCTCCTAGGTCTGCTTATCAGCGAAGCCAACCCAAGACACATGAAACAGCAAACTTGACCAGAGCAATTGGAAATGAGTTAGTAGCACTTAAATCTGGGGAGCATATTTGATTTCTAACCTGATGAGATTTCAGCTGCTGATTCATTACTCAATCAGCTGTGGTTTGGAGTGAAAGGCACATGATAGAAACATACCCATGTAATTCTGTCATTCTAAAAATATTCAGCATAATAATTTCCCAGATAGTGCTGCCTGGTGAGACAGCATCTTACATATCTCCAGTCATTCTAAGTCCTCATTTTTCTCTGGGTTAAACAGAGTTGGTTTCTTCTCACACTGTTCACTATCTGGTTAGAATGCCCCCAAATAATACATATTTTTCTCCTGGTCAATGTCTCTCTTAAAATATGATATGATTCCCCCAAAACACTTAGTTCTTAGCTCACATCAATCATATCTCCATTCTTGATTAGATTACAAGCCACCTGAAGTCCCAGGACCTGAGTCAATTCTTTATCCCTCATATCTATTATAAAATCCTAACCAGGAGTCACAGTTTGAAAAATGTTGTTCAAGAAAGCTATATATATGATGATCCACATACATTTTAACTTTGTACAGACAAGAATATACATTTTCCAACCATTAAATCTCCATAATTAGCCACTGTTTTAGCTGGGCCACCTACCATTTTGTATTTGTCTTTCTGCTTGTTGGCTCTAAAATAATCTCTAAACAAAATAACCAGCATATTTTACCATACATCTACACAGTATCTAGACATATCTCAGGTTTAGCTTTTATGTATAAATCTATACCACTCCCTTATTTTAAACAAGTGCTATAGCTGATAAAGAGGTTTAAAATTGCTATATGTGGCCAGGCATGGTGGCTTACTCCTGTAATCCCAGCACTTTGGGAGGCCAAGGCGGGCGGATCACCTGACGTCGGGGGTTTGAGACCACCCTGGCCAAAATGGCAAAACCCGGTCTCTACTAAAAAAATACAAAATTTAGCTGGGTGTGGTAGCAGGCGCCTTTAATCCCAGCTACTCGGGAGGCTGAGGCAGGAGATTCGCTTGAACCCAGGAGGCGGAGGTTGCAGTGAGCCAAGATCATGCCACTGCACCCCAGCCTGGCGACAGAGCCAGACTCCGTCTCAAAAAAAAAAAAAAAAATTGCTGTATGTTCTGTCATCATAGGTTATGTGGACAACGCACAAAATTCTCTTGCAGGACAATGGATTAAGCATTTTAAGGGTTACATATCCCCTCCTTTGAGCTTAGGTATAAAGTGTAACATTTGAAAGTGAATGTTTTCATTAAAGGACTCTAGAAAATATATGTATTTTCTAGTCTAATTATTAACACATTCTATTCCTGCCCTCTTTACATTGCATCAGACAGATCTGCTGAGGGCTAAAATACTGTGTTATATTTAATAGTCATGTGTTAAAGTGAAAACAGTTGGAGAGCATTCAGAGGAAAAACTTCTGTAAATTCCCTTGAAACTTTACTGGAAGCACTAAGCCAAGGAACTTTTGGATCACACCTCGAAAAAGGAATTGTAAGCTTATCAACCTTCCAAATTGGATTGAAATAGCAAGATGTGGTGACAGGAATCCAAGCTAACTCAGGTATATGGCCTTCCTATAGATACAAAAAGACAGATGTAGGTAATCAAAATAGGACCAGATTGCCAGTAGTGGGGATTCCAAAATGTACACTTAAAACAAATGTTCAGATCTTTCTGTATTGTTTAGGCTGGTAAAACTCATTTTAATGATCTTTTTAATATTTAGTCCTCAGTGTCAAAAAACAAAAGCAAACAAAGAACGTTTATCATAAGATTTTTTCTAAGTAATCTGTATGACCCATCTGAATAATCAACTATTGTTCTCTTGTTATTTCACATTATACATGTACATGGGATTCTTGTTTAAAATCTTTTTTTCATTTACATGGCTTATGAATGGATGTATTATTTTACATTTATACTTTTTGAGATCTTGAAAAATTTCTACAATCATCAATATGGATATGGAAAATATTTTTAAATATTCAAAATTGGTCTTTCCCAATTCTTACCATTGGTCTTATTTTCCAACCTTACTCATCTTGACTACTCTTCTCTGAACTCTCTCCAAATTTAAAACACACCTATCTAAACCAGCTTAATATGATTTTCAAATATAATCCAGTATCAGCTGGCATCTCTGTAATGATTTGACTGTTTTAAATCAAAGAACTCCAATAGCCAACGTTGCTGCCAATTGTAATACAGTCATCAAGAGAAGAATTGCACCAGATTTACCAACATGTTGCTTCTCTGTAGAAACAAGAGTTTGAGGAAGCTACATAGTTTGTTTTTTTTTTTACATTTTATTACTTTCTTCTAATAAAAAAGCTCAGTGATTTTAATTTAAACAATTAAATTGCTTTAGAAGAAATTTAGGAGGCTAAGGCTAGGGTCAAGGGGCTGAGACTCCACCCTGGACAGACCAGACTGCTGAATTCAATCTCAATGACGCATTGGGGACCTGTGAAACCCCTAACATAATGAGTTACTCAGCCATTCTTTTAAGGTTAATACACATTTTTCTGAAAGCCTATATTAAAATTTAAAATTGGAATAATGCAGAAGAGCCCATGCGTGCACTCAAGCAGCCCCAATTTGGATAAGAGTTGAGACCTGGAAAGAGCATTAGTGTTTGGAAAGAATCTGTTAGGTTATTAACACATCTAAATGGTAAAATTGGACTTTTGGCAGACTTGATAATTGGGAGCTGTAGGAAGACTCTTCATCTAATCAAAGGCATATGTGTTCTGAAGTCCTTTCAGTTTTATAACATTGCTACAAGGGAAAAGAAGAGATTTCCTTTCAAGAGGAAAATCATAGTTTGAAAGAGTTGCTTTTGGTCACAGGGTAAATACTTTCCAGGTAGCGTCTTAGCTACCTGCTCCTCTGAGACCAGTGGTGAATGCTAACAAGTGGCCAGTGATGATGAAAGTATTTGTTACCAGAATCTTTTTAGCCTCATCCTGGGATTTTTCAGAACTTCACACTATTCCCATTCTATCTCCAGAAAGTGGTCTGAAAAAACTTGCTCTTGAACATTTCTCCCTTATTTTAGCACCTGCTTGCTTGTCTGAACACCATCTTAGTTGCCTTTATGGCAAATTAGTGGGTGCATGGACTTTTTGAAGCTCCTTTTTAAATTTTATTTTATTTTATTTTTTTAGAGACTGAGTCTTATTATGTTGCCCAGGCTAGTCTCAAACTCCTGGGCTCAAGCAATCCTTTGGAACTATAGGTGCACCCTCCGACAACAGCTTAGTCACACAAGTACGACTCTAAGCACTTTCAGTTTCTCTTGCTCTCACCAAATAATTGCCCTCTTTCAGATGGTTTCCACCTTGCTTTAGACCTCTTTTGATCCTAATGGTGTATTTCTTTTGGCTGTTTCCCGGTAATCATCTAAAACCCTTCATTGCAGTAGTAAGATGATTTTTATATTTTTCTTCATTTTCTTTTTATTTCCCTCCTATTCTTATCAGATCAAGTTCATGTTATAATTCTACAATAGAATAAATCATTCACTCATTTAATTTCCCCCATGATCTTGCTATTCAGAGAGTGGTCTGTGGTTTGAGAGTATATGCATCACTTGGCAGAATCTAGGTCCCACCCAAACCTACAGAGCCAGAATCTGCATTTTAACAAAACCCTAGGTGATATATATTCCCATTAAATTTTGAGAAATGGTGATCTATGATGTCACTGATATGTGGTAATATCTTCTTGAACCTATTTCATGATGCAGATTCTCTACCTTATGAGACAGATCAATTCATCTTTAGGCAGCTTTCACCATAAGAAAGACCTTCCTTACATTGAAATGTTATTTTTTAACATCTTCATGAATTTCATCCATGTTCTATGGATCTATGTTCTAATCCGTAGGTCTATGTTCTAATGCTTGGGCCACCCCCAAATTTAATCTTTTTCTTATATGACATTCTTTCAAACATGTTAAAATAAATATCATGTTTCTCTTATTTTTTTCTGTTTTAGAGTAGAAACATTCATTTCATTGCTTCAAAACTTCTTCATACCATATGATTTCAAAATTTTTCCACCCTAAAGACATTTCAGTTAGATTCTACCCCCAAAAGAAAACCTTCCCAAAGTTTAAGAATCTGATGATCTAAAACCCATTTAGGGACCGGATGATTGGTGACATGGAAAATTAGTAAAACTCAGGGATGGAACCCACTTTCTGGTATTATTGCTGCCACACCATTTTCATCAAAATCCTAACCACTGCTACAAATAATTGGCATGCCATCAGTTGGAAACATTGTATCTGTCTGATATACACCTATGTGTTTACTTTCTTTAAGGGCTTTTTAAATACATGGAAGACCTAGAAATATCCAAATACATTTACCTAGCATTTTTCAAACTTTAAAAAATGTTTTTTAGGCCTATTACCTTGTATGAAAGTGATGGGATTTTTTTTCCCTTTGTTCTCAATAAATACAGCACTACTAATGAGAGTATGATTTGAATTCTCTGAAGTTACACCAAATAAAAGAAAATCGTTATGTAGACTCAAGGAGAAATATCAGCATTGAATTGTACGGGACAAATCTTAAAAATAGAAGGCTATGTTCTCACAGGGGAAAGTGCAATCACAAACTCTATGATGACATTTAGTCCTGTGGAAATTTGAGTGTTCTTTAGCATTCCAGCACTTAGACATCAATTCATGGTGGTCTCAAGCTATGTTTTTGTTCTGGCACATTAAACAGAATGAAGACATATGTCTAAATTTAAGACATCCTTTTAGTGCTCTGTGCACGAGAGCCAGCTGAGAAATTTGAACTATTTCAAAGCACTAGAAAAGGAATTGTAGACACATCCTTTGTTTGGGCATATATTTTTAATTATCCTGCCTTTTAATATTCTTCTCCATTTGAGGATAATCAGACAAAATGGATCCTGCTGGGCATTGTCATGCTTAATAAAAGTAAGACTGAACATCTGCAAATATGGCGACAGTGTGGCGCATACGATGCGCCAGTGACTGAGCTGCATTCTGATGTAATTATAACACCACATGGAGCTGTAATAATGTGACTCCCTGTTTACATTAGTTCTAGCACTTGGAGTAAACTCTCCTTGAGTTAGGTGCTAACCAATTTCAACCAGGGTAGGCATATAAACTAATGAAGGATTGTATTAAATGCAGAGTGTAGATAATGCTGAGAATAGGCAGATAAAAGGCTGTAGACTATCATTTTGAATCTGCAGCCAGGTGTCAATTCTCTGGGTTTAATCCCATCGATTGCTATCTGTGTGACCTTGAGTGAGTCCTCAAATTCAGTGAAATGGAGATAATCACTGTGCATTTCTCATAAGACTATAGTAAGGCTTTAATATAATAATATACATAAAGGTTTTCTCTACCTCCTCTTCCACTGCTTTTTTTTCCTTTCTCTTTACTTTTTAAAATAAATATCTATTGCCATTTTTTTCCTTCCTTTATCAAAAAGCTACTAGAAAAGACCAAGTGAAATAAGTGGCCCAGGGTTGTCAGACTTCATTGATGGTTGGGGCTAGTGTACAAAGGGGGTGGCAACTAGTTGGTGTCAGGAAATTGGCTACATTTCGGGGTTGGAGATGAGAGCCGGCTTCCTCAGTGTCAGAGAAGGGAAGGGGAAGCTAGAATGAACTCTGCGGTGTTGAATTGGAATCAAAGGTATCAGCAGAAAAGCAGCATTTTGTAGATAGGATACAGAGATAAATACAGATATAAATGTATGTATGCATGTATACATATATACACAAGTACATATGTTTCCTAGCTCTGTGTCCTGAAAGAGCCTGAGAGCAGTGATAACACAATAGCAATGAACACACTTAGTGTCCAGATCTTGGTTTCCAAATACCAGTGAACATTCAGTTTCTAAACACCACTTACTAAAAGGAGTCCAAGCTCTTTAGAGAAATGGCTAATTTTAGGGATAGGTTGGGAAAAGAACAGGAAGATCCTGGAAATTTGTGTTACACCATAAAGTAAGGAAATACTGAAAGAGTGGTGGGAACTTGTCTAAAGAATAGGGAAGCTAGCTTGAAAGAGCTCCAATTAGTCAAATCTGCAATAATTTTTGAGCATCTAAATATGTCGTGAGAGTAGCAGATTATAACACATTGAAAAAACAGGAACCCATGAATCCGCATGGATATTCATAGATAAATAAATGAGAAAGCTCTTTCTTATCATAGAAAGCCAACTCATAATAATTATGAAAGAAATGATGGTAGTGAAGAATCACCTTTTGGCAACCATTAGAATAAGTATTCAGAAAAGAAACACCAATGATGCTAATGGATGAACATAGAATGAAAAATCGTTTTTCACATGATCTCTCAGTATCCTCCCTCAAAACATGCATTGATTACAGTGGAGAAACCTGGCAGACACTGTCTTAATCAAGGGATTACAGTTAACACCACCAGTAATATCGTGTGCCCCTCAAAAGGATCCAGTGAAAACATCTTAGCACTTGAGTCTAACCATGAAGAAACATTACACAAACCTAATTTGAAGGATGTTGTACTCAACAACTGGCTTGTAATCTTCAAGAACATCAAGGTCATGAAAAATAAGGGGAGCGTGAGGAACTGTTCCACGTTGAAAAAGACTAGAGAGACAACACAACTGGGCACAATTCCTGGATTAAATTTTTTGCTAGGATATTACTGGGACAATTGGTAAAACTGGAATAAGGTCTCTGAGTGAAGGGCATGTGAGAATTTTTTGTACTCTTCTTGCAATTTTTCTGTAAGGTTGAAACTAATGCAAAATAAAGTATTTAATTTAAAACATGTAAGAAAATCAAACTATGTCAAGTGCCTTGTAGTAAGGATCTATTAAAATTTTAGTTATTATTGTTTTAATGGCTATATCATGAAAAAATTTAAGTTATAGGTGTTTGCATCTTTATTCATGGTAGCTAAAAAATTCCCCAAATGATAGCAATCCTAAAATTTTAAGCCTGCAATTTTTTTTTTTTTTTTTTGCCATTAACATTTGTCAATGCCATTCAGATTTCTAAGCTGTGGTCCCAGAGTTAAATAATCTTGAGCATTTAGTTAAGCAGATATTCAAAAATTCTCCCAGATAACCAGATTTCTGTATATAAAAACTAAAAGTAAAGGGAAAAAAAGAAAAAAAATAGCGGAAATTCAAAGGATCATACTGGTTTCCCCTGATGAAAAGTAGCCTCAAAACGGTCAAGTCACATTTCCTACATTTCCTTTCTGGAACAAATGACTAATTTTTGCTTACTGACTCGGAGACTTTCACCTGTAAGTCCCAACATTTTCCCTCCTTTGTTGCAACACAACTGGGGTTGCAGGCACCAGGCACTATCTCTGTCCAGCAAAGGGAGGTGTTTCCTCATATAAAGGTCTTTAAATAGGAAGAAACACTTATCCAAAAGGTAGAAGGGAGATTTCCCTCAGGTCCCACTGGCTAGAATTAGGTCATATAACTGTTTTAAACCAATCACAAGTAAAGGGATTGAGACCATAATTGAATTAAATGTATACTTACCTTTCTGGAGACTAGAAAGTAGAATTTGTTGCCTTCCCTGGGCACACTGTAAATAACAAAACATAGGATTTGTTCTAGAAAGAAGGAGTAGTGGGTGGAAAAAATCATTATTACATAAGCAACTCAGAGTGTCTGATACACTACAGATAGAGATAAATCTCTATTTTTTAAGTATAATTTGCCCATTCATAAATCCCTAATTTTATTTTTAAAAAGTATTTTTATGAATTTCTGACTTTCTAATACATAAATGTCATCAATTGTAAAAAAGCACATTTTTGACATTTTAACAACTCTGAAATTGAGTCCACCTTAAATGTGTTATGTAATTGTTTTATTGGTAACTATCTTCTTTCTATGTAGAAGAGAGTAAACTACAAAATAATAGTGCACCTTGTGTTTTACTTTTATGAAGCATTAGATTGAATAATATGTGGTAAACAAATAATAGTTACTATGGCCACCATTATGTTTGCAAACATTATCTCATTTAATCATTGGAACAGCCTCATGAGGTAAGCACAGTAATTGTTCCTTTTTTTTTTTCAGACAGATTCCTGCTCTATGGCCCAGGCTGGACTGTAGTGTTGTAATCTTGGCTCACTGCAACCTTCACCTCCTGGGTTCAAGTGATTCTTCTGCCTCAGCCTCCCAGGTAACTGGGACTACAGGTGTGTGCCACCACACCTGGCTAATTTTTGCATTTTTTAGTAGAGACAGGGTTTTGCCATGTTGGCCATAGTGGTCTTGAACTCCTGGCCTGCCTGCCTTGGCCACCCAAAGTGCTGGGATTACTGGTGTGAGCCACCGAGCCTGGCCTATTTTTCCTATTTTAAAAATGAAAAAAACTGAAGCTTATTAAGGCTAATTTGCCAGATTCCACAGTAACTAAGGACAGAATTAAGACTGGAGCCCAGAATTTACCTGATACTAAAGTTTGTCCTTTTACCATGCCCATCCCTGGCTGTCAACAAATATGTGCATTCATTTATCTCTTCAATATAATTGCGATGTGCCTATTGGATGCCAAATACTGTATGAGGCATTGAATAGAAAGTGTTGAATATTGAAGACAGGGGCTTAAAGTTGAACAAGGAAAACAAATAATAATAATAATAAATATATTGTTACAATTATAATAAGTAATTGAGACTGTGGAAGATTGTTCAAAAATGTTTGATACTCTTCATTTGGGGAGGATTTTACTGCCCAGTCCCATTAATGGAAGGCTTTGTCATGTGACTTTTTTTGCCAAATATAGGAGCAAGCAGCATAAATTATTTCCCAGATTTTTAAGCACCAACATTTGGTATGTCTCTGCCTTCTGCCACGATAACAGCAATGTTCCAGATAGAAGCTGCTCTGCCAGCCTAGGTCCCTACATGGAAAAAACATAGAAGCACAGTTGCAGCCACTCTGCAATGTACCAGTAGCAGGAGTATGAAATATACTTTTGAAGTTGCTAGCCACTGAGATTTTTGAGGTCATTAGCTAGCACATCATATCCTAGACTACTGATGAGTCCAGTAACTTCACTGGCAACTGAAAAAAATAAAGGTGTAATAGTGTGAAAAGCCAATAATACAGCACCTAAAAGCATGGACTCTGTACCCAAATTGCATAGATTCAAATTCTATCTTCCATTTACTTAAAAACTTTCCTTAGAAAACTTAATTAACATTTCTGCCTCAGTTTCCTATAGGATAATATAACTTTTCTCCTCCTATGGTTATCATAAGGATTAAACACTTTAATATTTATATAGTGTAACTATCACTGTGTGTCATTCCGCATCCTAAAAAAAATTGCTAGTAGTGGGATTTATGGACCTCGTGGTAGTTTATTTTTAATTTTTTTGTGGAACCTCCATACTGTTTCATCATGGCTGTACTAATCTACATTCCCACCAACAATGTGCAAGGATTCCCCTTTCTCCCCATTCTCACCAATACTTGCTATCTTTCATGTTTTTGAAAATAGCATTCTAACAGGTGTGAGGCAGTATCTCATTGTGGTTTTAATTTGCATTTCTCTGATGATTAATTATAGTGAGTACCTTTTTATACATCTGTTGTCTATTTCCACGTCGTCGTTTGAGAAATATCCATTCAGGTCCTTTGCCCATTTTTAAATCAGCTTATTTGTTTTCTTGCTATTGAGCTGTTTGAGTTCCTTATATATTTTAGATATTAACCCCTTATCAGATATATGGTTTGCAAATATTTTCTTCTATTTCATAAGTTGTTGCTTTATTCTGCTAATTGTTTCCTTGGCTTGGCAGAAGCTTTTTAGTTGACGTAATCCTATTTGTTTATTTTTGCTTTCATTGTCAGTGCTTTTGGGGTCATATCCAAAAAATCATTGTCCAGACCAATGTCATGGAGTTTTCCTGTATGTTTTCTCCTAGTAGATTTCCAGTGTCAGGTTATATTTTTAAGTCTTTAATCCATTTTGAGTTGGCTTTTGTATATGGTGTGAGATTAGGGTCCTATTTCGTTCTTCTGCATGTGAATATTCCGTTTCCTCGGCAACAGTTATTGAAGAGACTGTCCTTGCTCTACTGTGTGTTCTTAGCACCTTTGTGGAAAATTAATTGACTGTAAATGTATGGGTTTATTTTTTTGCTTTCTATTTTGTTCTATTACTATATGTGTCTGGTTTTATGCCAGTACCATGCTGTTCGATATAGCTTTGTGGTATATTTTAAAGTCACTTAGTGTGATACCTCCATCCTTGTTCTTTTTGCTTAAGATTGCTTTGGCTATTTGGTCTTGTGTAGTTCCATACAAATTTTTGGATTCTTTTTTCTACTTCTGTGAAGAAAAAATGTCACTGGGATTTTGATAGGAACTGCATTGAATATCTAGATCGCTTTGGGTAGTTTGGACATTTTAACAATATTAATTCTAATCCAGGAACACAAGATATCTTTCAATTCATTTGAGTCTTCTTCAATTTCTTTCATCAATGTTTTATACTTTTCAGTGTGCAAGTCTTTCACTTCCTTGATTCAATTTATTCCTAAGTAATTTTTGTATCCATTATAAATGAAAATTTTTAAGATTTCTTTCTCAGATTGCTACACTACTGGTTGTTACACTACGGATTTTGTGTGTTTATTTTGTATTCTGCAACTTCACTGAGTTCATTTATTAGTTTTAAGAGTTTTTTAACGTAGTCCTTAGGATTTTCTAGATGTAAGATCATGCCGTCTGCAAATAGGAACAGTTGAACTTTTTCCTTTCCAATTTGGGTGGCTTTTATTTCTTGCTCTCACCTAATTGCTCTGGCTAGGACTTTGGGTACTATATTAAATAGAAGTGGTGAGAATGGTCATCCTTGTCTCATCCCTGATATTAGAGGGGGAAAAATGCTTCCAATCTTTTATTGTTGAGTGTAATGCTAGCAGTGGGTTTGTCATATGGGGTCCTTTGTGTTGAGGTGCATTCTTTCCATACCTAATATGTTGAGGTATTTTGTTTTTTTTTGTACCATGAAGCGACGTTGGATTTTGTCAAATGCTTTATCTGCATCTATTGAGATTATCATATTATCTTTGTCCTTCATTCTGTTAATGCAGTGTGTCACATTTATTGATTTGTGTATGTTGAAGCTGCATCTTTTCAAATAATTTATACTTCACGTAGTTCTTTGGTCAATACAGAAATTCCAGTGTGATTAGATCAATGTTTGTTTTGCATAAATTATTTCCCTAAACTGAATTTATTGGTTGTTCAGTGTTCATCTGTAGACCAGGCTCTACTTGCAGAGGCTCTGATTCAGTCTATCTAGGAACCTGTATTTCTAACAAGTTCTAATTCTGAGTTACAGCCAATTGGCATGAGCTTTCTGAAGGTATGGAATGAATCTCTTTGGTTATTTTCCCAGGGTATCTAGTACATGACCAGGTGGCTATTCAGTAATTGATACTCATTTATCTTTGTGAGATTTACTAGTCTACCATGTTACATGCAGAATAGAATAAGCTATGTTAAGGAAATATGTAATGGCAGATATCATTCCACTGGTCTGCCCATCCTAAAAAACTAGAATTTTTATATTTTAATTTTTAGTCTTTTATCTTTTAATTACACAATAATATAGGTTTATCATAGTTTAAAAATCACCATAGGCAATAAATTATCTCACATAAATCTTATGCTCAAAGGTAACGATACCATGACTATGTTCTAGGCTATTAAATAATTTTTATTAAGAATTCCGTTTATGGAATGTACAAATTACATTGAACAAATTTAATGGATCAGAGGAGACACTTAGAGTTTTTTCCTCCAACTTTTCTATATTATTTTCAACAGCATCATAAGCATACTTAAAGTTAATTCTTGAGCATACCCATGAAGATAAGTTCCTAGTTCCAATAAGATGAAAATTTTTAAAGTTTAGAGACTATTGCCAAATTGCCATATGGGGCAATAAAATCTGGTCTTTAAATCAAATTTTATAAAAACGATGCAGTGATTTTTGAGAAGTGACCTCATACTGTCATGTGAAAATGATGAGCAGTAATTACCGTTTTGGAATTGAACATTGTGATATTCTACTACTCAAGGGTAGCATGAAGCTTTGTGACATGGTCATTTAATTTTGCTGGGGGATGATTTTCAACAGCGTACCCTGCAAAGCAGGTACATAAGACTCAGGCATGTCCAGCACTTTCTCCTCAAGATGGTTTTGTAATTTATAATTCATTCTCCTGTTCACAAGAACTCCATGGTATAACTTAAAAAATAAAAAAACTACAATGAAGGTTGTTCATATATAATATGATATGTGGCACCTTAACTAACATAATTCAGGAAAGAGCCAGATGTGTATATATATATTCTACTTGAAAATGTGGAAATTCTTGAAGGTACAGATTCCACATGAGCATCAGTAAAGTCTGTTGTTTACATAACTTACTATATAATAGCCTAATGTCTATATATAGCAAAATATAATATGTACTGGGTTTAGGTAGGATTTCTTATTCTGTCCTTTTAAGGAAGTGGAAAAACTATTCACATGTGACTACACAGAAGGTGTTTGTTCAGATCTCGCTTTCCCTTCCCCTTCTGTTGTCCTCTCCGGGGCTCCCTTCTTGCTTCTCCTCTGTGGATCCTATGCTTCTCTTCTTCCACCCTGCCTATGATGCTGTTCAATTCATTTTATTATGACCCTTACATTTACATATTTTCACAGTCTATTTGTGATAGCTCTAAGTTCTTCTTGAGTACCAAAGCTTTGACCACAGTGTTTTTAAGGAATGCCTGCTGTTTACTGTTTGGTGCTCCAAGAATGACTTTCTTTTGGTTTGCTAGGTCCTGCATCTTTGTTGTCTAACACAAGGGTTCTTGTGTTGTTCAATTAGTTTTGTTTCTTTGATACTATTTGTTCAGGATCTGAGCTGAAAACAGTACACCATTAGGCAAAAACATGGGCACCATGATATTTCCCATTAACAGCAACCTTTTTCAAATAAATTATTTTATGCCCTAAAATAAGCAAAAATAAAAAGATTATTATTACCTACAGCTATCTCTACTCATTGTGGACCTCTTGTTCCTTCAGTATGATATCTGTAATAATGCCACATTTTTATTAATTTTGTACAGTTGAGAAGTACACTGAAATGGAAAAAAATATCTATATCCATATTTTTTTAAATTTTTCTATATTTTCATAAATACTCCAAAGTTCAATACTTTTTCATAGGTTCAGAGTTTTAATACCAGCCTATCTAATTGGTAAAGCAGATGCTCACAGAATTTTTTACTGATATACAAGGATTCCTTTAGAATTATTTATAATTACTAGTGATGTTGTCCTGTTATGGAGATTGTCAATTTAAAAGTGACTGGGTCCTCAGTAATTTAGAAGATAGAATACTTAAGCTAAAGTTCATATTTTTTATTTACTTATTTTCAACTTTTTCATAAAGAAACAGACTCAATATAGACAAAATAGTTTCAGATTGAAAGAAATTCCACTGCACAGACTCTATCCCTTACCATCCCTTAATGTACATGGTCAACCACACTGGGAACCAGAGAGTGCAGATGATTCAACAAAAGCCATCAATGTGCACATTATAATGCCTCATCAACATTATGTAGAGTTGTTCCCTTTCTGAAAGATAACATAAAACTTATTTTAGCCTCACTACTTGTCGATTACTGTTTATTTTCATGGCATAGTTATTTTTAAATTATTTTATTAAATTTAAATGAAAATCCCACGAATATCCTTTTTTCTCTAATCCCTTTTTCTTTTTCCTTTGTCCTTCTTCTCCTACCCCTATCGCCACATATGTTTTTTTAAGGTTAATTGAATTGAACATTTACATTTGGTCCTAAGGTACGGAAAACCAAGGATGCCCCACTGCTCAACCATGTGAGGAGAATTGGTTTACACCAGCACTGTATTTAACCAGCTCTTAAAGGGATTTTATTTGTTTGATAGGGACCAAAGCTGGTGAATGAATCATGAGGGTCAATTTGGGTCACCAACTACTAAAAAATATAGACACGTTCCTTCCTGCTTTTTAACTACCCAAACTGGAAAGAAGAAAATCAGTTTTAGGCTGCAAATATTGAGTCAGGAAATATTTCTATTTGATTGCCTTAAGAGATGAGGCCCAAATAATGTTGCCTTTTCCCATAACGTGTCTCACACACATTTCACATTCTTAACCTGAGAAAAGCCTGCTCATGCCATTTATTCACACTGTAAATTATTCGTAGACTTCAAAGTTGGTTGGGAAAAAGGTACAAGCAAAGAGGTTACTGTGCTTATTCCAACCATACAATGGTAAATCAGAAAAGACATTCTGCCGGATTCTTATGGGACTTATTAACTAAATAGTGTTTATCTTCCCTTCCTGGCTAACCTACTCAGAGCAAGTAATGAGCTCAGAAGAAATAAAGCAAATACTGAGCCCTTTCCAATCCTTCCAACTGTTCTGCCACCCACCATTTCTTTGAATGTTGTTTTCTTAATTTTCTGTTTGTTTGACCTAAGGGCACTAACCGAACTGAGCAAAGGCTTCCAGGAGATGGCTTGGGACAAGAAAAGCAGGTTTCTTTGTTTCTCATGTACAGAGACACATGTCAATCAACCATTGCCTCAGTTAAACATTTAACATCCATGTTAAAAAGAATATCCATTTCACATCCGTCGGTCTGTTACTGGTCTGAAAAGGTGCAGGTTTTGGAAAAATATTTACCATGAGGTCCATCTATGATCTTCAATATGTTCCCCACAGCGAATGATCTCTACTTTCTCTTCAGCTACAATTCCGTGAAAGAATATAATATAGCAGACAATTATAGCAGGGCAAGAGGATTGTTTCATTTACCACCACCAGTAAAGCCAGATTGCAGGGAGGATCAAAGACATTACCTCTTACCAAATCATAATTTTCAGTTATCGGAAATGTTTTTAATTCTGGTAAAAATAATACCAATGACTAATGATTATTTCATGAAAATGCCTAATACTTTTGTTTATTGTGGAGAATTATGATGCTTAATATAAAACTTCTGTGACTTCCAAAGAATAGAGAGAGGGGATTAGGGAAGGGAAGGATGAATGGATGGCTGGAGGTTGAGGCACAACAAATGGGGAAGAGTATGAGTGCCAGTTTTTCCAAGAAGTAATATGTGACTATTAAAAGGCAGGAAGTCACCTAGATTCTTCCAAGTCTTCTGCCAGCTTTTCCCAAGGCTTTCTCACCCCAATAGCAATTTAAATAAGCAATGGAGAAATTGAACCACACTACTGTCATGACCCAGCCTTGGTAAATTCATTTCTAACACAGACCGACAACTCATTTCTCCAGAAATGAGTTTATTTGGATTGATTGCTTCCAAGTAGAGAAATAGCCTCACTTTAAGAAAGCCCTTATTTTTGTTTACAGTTGTTAAGGTCATACATGCAAACACTGTAGGACTTTGTTTTTATTTTTGTTTGATTTGGAGACAAGGTCTCTCTCTGTTACCCAGGCTGGAGTGCAATGGAATATGCATAGCTTACTACAGCCTCTATTCTTGGGCTCAAGCAATCCACCTACCTCAGCTTCCCAAGTAGATAGGACTACACGTGCACCACCATGCTCTGCTAATTAAAAAAACAAAATCTGTAGAGATGGAGCTTTGCTGTGTTACCCAATCTGGTCTCAAATTCCTGGCCTCAAGTAGTCCTCCTGCCTCAGCCTCACAAAGCACTAGGATTACAGGCGTGAGCCATTGTGCCTGGCCTTACTGTAGAACTTTATAATTCATTATCTTCTTTACCCAGGTGTACATAGTATTAGTGAAATAAAATACATTAAATTAAAGCCATTTTTAATTTTTTGGTATACTATGGAATTAGGCATATTTGAAATTACTTCTCATATGACATTGTAAACATAGCCAAATTATTATCATTTTCTTCCTGTAGCAATAAGTCTGAACATAAAATCTTCCATTTTCTTATACAAAATGAAGCTTTAAAAAATCAAGAGCATTTAATTTGTTTCATATATAGGCCTTCTCAACTGCGATCTTGCCCCAGAGAAGAGAAAAAACTACACAGAAACCTTAAGCATTAAGACACATTATTGTAACTAAGAAAGAGCATAACGTTAATAGTGGCTTTTTCTAAGGTGTAAAATAATGAATTTTTAAGATACTTTTCCTTATTTTTCATATTTTGTATATTAAATATATACCACTTCTATCATTTAAAATATCTATTATGTTTTTAAAATAAAGGCTTTCTTTCCGCTTTCTTTCAGGCCAGAGGTAAAAGAAACAGAGAAGAAGAGATAATAATTCTAACAGAAATATTACAGCCTTTACAACTTGCATGCATACAGTTATACATTAAGAGACTGAAAAAGGCAGTTTCTTTTACTGCTAATTCTAGTAGTGATGAAACTCAGGCTCAAGTATTCAGGTGACTTGTTTGAGGTCACACAGTGCATAAATGGTTGCACCTGAGCTGAAATATGAGTTGTCCAACTCTTGTAAGTGCATGCTCCATCACATCATCCTGAGTCAGTAATGAGGATGCCATTGTACCCTTCAAGCAGCCCTGGAGAGTTTATCTCTGCATGCTGGAGCTAATAATAATAGTGAGTATTTATATAGTCCACACTAGGTACCACATTCTGCTTTAAGTGCTTTACAAATAATAACTCATTTCATCCATACAGCAACTTCATGGGGTCGATACCATTACTATCATCCTGTTTTACATATAAGGAAACTGAGGTTACATAACTAGGCCCTAGATCACTCAGCTAGAGGTAAGACTGGGATACAAGCAGACTGACTTCAGAGCCCATGCTTCACCATCACATTAAGTAGCCTGCTGATTTGTCTTTATTTGTTATGTTAACAGGAAAGGATTGCTTTCCTTTAGTGCAAGGTAAGCCACAAGGCAGATTATAGGAAATAGTCTACAAAAACTGAAGGGAGCAGCATCAATTTTCCCAAGGAATTTTTTTTCCTTTATACTTCTTTATCATTAGAGCCCAATTTGGACAAATTCTTTTCCACTCTGAGCCTCAGTCAATGTTTGGCTCATTTCATGAAGGAAACTGATGGTAGAGGCAAGAGTACACTGCTCAGCAGACCCTTTGTCCAAGGGTAATTTCATTGGCCTCCACCATTGTTTGCCTGTTAAACTGTGGCTTACAACATTTCAAGGAGCAAAGACAAAATGTTACACTTGTACTGTGGTGAAACTTTCCATTTCAAAGAAATAGATTCCAGCAGGCGTAAAGCTACCTGGAAGCAAAGGGTTTGTTATGGGGTTATTATAAAATAGAAAAACAAAAACTCAATCTGGAACATGACCCCTTTGTCGTACACATGCATTGCATCTGGCCTGCTGTACAATGTGGACCACTGGCAGAGACTGTGTTCACACATGGAACACAGGAGAGAGCTACTCTAAGAAGAAAAAGTTAGGAAAACTAGATTCTTTTCTTTTATTCTTATTTAAATTGTGATAAAATATACATAACAACACTTACCATTTTAACCATTTTTTTTCTTTGTGAGATAGAGTCTCACTCTGTCGCCCAGGCTGGAGTATAGTAGCACGATCTCAACTGCTCTCCCTCTCAGGTTCAAGTGATTTTCCTGCCTCAGCCTCCCGCGTAGCTGGGACTAGAAGTGTGCACCACCACGCCTGGCTAATTTTTGTGTTTTTAGTATAGACGGGGTTTCGCCATGTTGGCCAGGCTGGTCTCAAACTCCTGACCTCAGGTATTCCACCTGACTCAGCCTCCCAAAGTGCTGGGATTACAGGTGTGAGCCACCGCACCTGCCCATTTTAACCATTTTTAAGCGTACAGTTCAGCGGCATTAAGTACCTTCACATTGTTGTGCAACCATCACCACCATCTATCTCCAGAACTTTTTAACTTCCCAAATACAAACTCTATACCCCTTAAACAATAACCCCCCATTCTTTCCTCCCCCAACCCCTGGCAACCACTATTCCACTTTCTGTCTCTGTGAATTTGACTGCTCTTGGTACCTCACATAAGTAGTATCACACAGTATTTTTCCTTTTGCAACTGACTTATTTCACTCCGCATAATGTCTTTAAGTTTATCCATGTGTAACATGTGTCATAGTTACCTTCCTTCGTAAGGCTGAATAATATTGCATGGTATGTATGTATATACTGCATTTTGTCCATTTATCAGTCAATGGGCACTTGGGTTGCTTCCATATTGTGAATAATGGTGCCATGAACATGATGTAAAAATATCTGTCCAAGTCCCTGCTTTCATTTCTTTTGGATGCATGCCTAGAAGTGAAATTGTTGGATCATATTTTAATTTTTTTGAGGAACTGCCATTGTGCTTTCCATAGTGGCTGCACCATTTTACAAGTAATAGATTTTAAAGCCAACTAATGAGTTCAGTTTCTCTACCCTCCTTCTACTCCCTCAAAAAGACCAAGTGCCTCAGAGGTGCTGGTAGTCGCTAACAATGTGATTGCCAATTATACTATCTGTCTGTTCAGCGCAACCCAATTTACACTACAGTCTATCTCCCCTTATCTCAGTAAGCCACAATTTCACAAATGCTGCAGAACTTGTAAAACCATGGAACCTGCACCACTGCCATTCCCTGCCAAAATTACACTACCAAAATTTCATGACCAAGCCACCCAAGTGCCACATTTGAGCTGTGTTAATTAGGAAAGAAGACTAGCCTCAAAGACCTTTCAAGCTACTCTACAGCACATTGATTATTATTGAACATCTAGCTTCTATTTCACTGTTTCATAGTAGAGGTGAAAATATTTGCCTCAGAAAGCATGGTGTGCAGCTGTTTTACAACATCATAGTGAGAAATCTCTTGAATGCTTTAAGTAGGCGAACCCATGTCTTACTCACCCGTGACTCTACTTCAGTGCCTTGCATGGTGCCTTGTACAGTGTATAAGTCAGTGATAAATTCAGACAGCGTGTCCCAAACTTGAACAATTCACCTTATCATTCTCGATGGCTTTTGCTGTGTCCGCATGTCAAGTGACTTTTTTTACTTAAGTTAACATATGTAGTAAGAAAAGTATGTATTATCAGTACAGATGAAGAATCAGTATTCCTTGCTATAAATAAAACAAATACACTCATAAGAAAACAAATTAATTTATGTCACACCTATAGTTATTTTCTATCTGTCAATAGAATTTCTGGACTGGCTTATTTGATATATAACTCTGAATCTATTGATCTCCTCAAAAAATAGTACATTAGTAAATATTTTGAGAAGATAATTAAAAATAAAGGCTGAAGCAGAATAAAGAATTTGGTGTTAAAATGTTAGCAGTGATCATTTTTGTGATATAATTATGGATTATTATATTTTATGGTCTTAAAGGAAATAGGTGATTGAAATAAATAGAATATGTGTGTAGATATATGTATTATATTTAGTTGATAGAGACAATGGCTAAAGAAAAAAAGGCAAATAGTGGCAAATCCTAATAGCCAGTTCCATCAAATTGGCACTAGAGATTAGTGGGGTAATGATTGTTGCAGCCAGATCATCCTCACATCTTGTGACAAAAAGTGCACCAGTGGAATGGTATGAAGAGAATGCAGACATCAGCAACTATTAGAGAAAAGGTAAATGTGTGAACAATGACAGCCTGCCCAGCATAGGCATCTTCAGAAAAGCTCCCCTACACATTTCATTAACGAAATGGACTAACGGATGATCCACTATGTGCAGAACAATATACGAGGGATAATTCGTGATACAAAGAATATAAATCACTGTTCTTGTCCCAAGGTCTCTAATAATCTAGAAGAGATGGCCAAGAAAACCAAAATTATATTACAAATCACAGTGCTGCAAAAGCTGAATGCATATATAGACATATGTAACATTCTGTAGGTATGGAGAAAAGGAAGTGAGAATAAGAGCAGAGAAGCAACTGGGAAAGATTTCTGCGATGAAATTTTGAAAGCAAATGGATATTGACAATCGGAGTCAAAGGTATGAAAAGAGTCTTTTTTTTTGTTTTCAAAGGATAAATATTCATTTCTCCAGGACCAAGAAGAGGAAGTATCCTCTAGAACCTGGCACACTCCGTTTCTCTAGTTAGAACTGGGTAATGCTGGGGGAGTAGAGGGTTGAATGGATTGCCAAGGAAGGGAAAGGGAGTCAGTGGCAGTCACGGAGGCCTGGAGTCTCACATCATGCTAGCAAGTTAAAAGAGGGTACCAGTGCCAGCTGCTCACACTCCTCTGAGGCCTGATCTGTCCCTAAGCTGTCTCACTTCCTGACATCCCTTTCCAGCTGGGTGGCTATTTCCTGGGCCGTTGCAGACATCCCCCTTCACACTCCTTTCACAGCTGTGGTTTGGCGCTCTCTGCAAGAGTCCCAGTGCCAAAAGTGCCCTCTGGGCTTGTGTTCTGAAAGCAAAGGCCTGCTCATTTCCACTACAGAATTTACCCACAGAGACAGACGGAGGCAGCTTTTTTTAGATGGCCAAAGCAAATTGGCCTGCATGAATGACATTGGAGTCGTGTGGTAATAATCAGATCTGGTGTCTGGGACACCCAGGGGCACCAGCATAGGCTGTAAGTAGCTGAGAACTTTTCCTGCTGCATCATAGAAGCTGTTGGAAGCTAAGAAATGGAAGCATTTGAAGGATGAATGAAAACTCCTCCTCATCCATGATGTTTGGCTGTGGCTGGAGGGAATAGTCAAGTTGAAGTTATACAACAAACAGTTGTTTTTATGCTGAGCCAAGGAAGTGACTATGATTCTCCATACCTAGGTAGTGCTGAAGCAGGGGTCTCCAAACTGTGACCTGAGAGCCAAACCCATCCCTCTTGCTGTTTTCCTATACCCTGTAAGTTCAGAATGGCTTCTACATTACTAAGAAGATGAAAAAAATCAAAAATATTTTATCACGTTAAAATTATATGAAATTCAAATTTCAGTACCCACAAATAAAGTTTTATTGGAATACTGCTATGCCTATTGACTTACACGTCATCTCTGGTTTCTAGCTTCAAATGCAGAGTTGAGTAGTTACAGCTGAGACCTCATAAGGCTTTACTTACAAACCTTTTCAATCCCTGTGCTAAAGCAGTGGCCAGTGTAACCAAAGACAGGGGGAAGTGAAATAATAGTGGATGGGAAACTTTTTAAAATGAAGACATAGTTTTTTTTTTTCCTGACCTTCATTTTTAAATGTTCAGCATTCTTGGTTGCAGAATACACCACCCCGAGAAAGAGGTATATCTGGAGCTTAGCATTAATGCTTAAAACAACACTTAGATTTCTTTTTTTAAAACTTTGATTCTCCCATCTCCCACTCTCTCCCTTCCCCGCCACCCCTACCCAACACAAGCATGAGAAAAAAACCATGGGCAGACCACTCATGTAGCTAAGAAGATCTCAGTGACGTGCTGGTGCTCACAGGGACTCATTGGCAGTAGAAGAAGTACAAGGGCAGTGAATTGCAGGCTCCCCACGATGGAACCCAAAGAAAAATTAACTGAAACAATTTTATGGAAATGTATTCAGTATGCACAGATGACAACATGCCAGCAAGTCATTTCGGTATAGCATTCTAATTATAGACACCACTCTCAAAGTTTACTCAAGCTATATAGTATGGTCCCTTTTATAGAGTGTGGTTTAAATTGGCCACTTAAAAACCAGAGAGGTCACTTTAGGTTAACTAGTACAATTTGGTAGCTCAAAGGAACACTGTACTTCACTCAACTTATAGGACTGAGACTTCATTTTTCCTTAGGTTCTGAGGATTCCTCCAAGCCAAACAGCTGGAATGAAAAGTTAAAAAATGAATATTGTGTTAATCAAAAAAAAAAAAAAAACAGATGTTTTGTCACAAAGAAGTTATATAAGGAAACCCAGTTTCTGAAGGAAGCAAGCTGAAGTAGAGGTGTGTTGAACGGGAGTGTGGCAGTAATACGCACTTGGGTTATAGGTGGAGGAAAAAGGAAGAGGAGGCAAGAAATTTCTCAACATATCCTTTAAAGACATTCTGGTATGTTGAGTGTGACTACTCATGTTTAGGCACAAACTCAGCCAATCAAGGTAGAGAAAGGGCGTGACTCGGAGGGTAGTAACTACAAACTATTTAAAATACTCATATGATGACAAGTCTCCATCAACGTGTCTGATTCTTCCGCTTGCTGAAGGTAATATGGTACTTTGAAAAAGGCATAAGCTATTAAAGTATATTAAGAGTTTTACTCGAGTAGATATGATCAAATAAAGTTATCATAAAAACTACCATGAAGACAGGAGTCTAACCCATTGCTTGAATTAGACAGGCTTCTGGGTAACGATAAAGAGAAAGTGATTTGGCAGTGAGCTACAGAGAACTCAAACCCAAGGAATGAAGAACTGGGAAGGAAGCTAGAGGAGTGTTTCCAGAAAGGCCCAGGGCTTACATATTCCCTAGTTTATTATGAGAAATGTAATTTGTCGTATGTAAATTTCAAATAAGGAGCAAATATGCAAAGTCTCTTTTTTCTCTTTGTGAACTTTGCAAGCTCTCATAATGCCAGATGATAGAAACTTGATCTCAGGCAATTTCTAACCTCACCCATCAGACCTAGTATTTAGTACCTGGAGCTGTAGTACCTAGAGCTAGATTTCCATAGCACCAAAGTATTTTGAGGAGAGCACGGAGGATTGTATTATATTTCCAATAGAAAGGGCTATTCACATCTACCAGCTATCTTGTTGAACTTAGTGCTACTTTCATTGATAGCAGGATTTTCTGCTACTTCTCTTCCATACTGAGGCTACAGGTACTTTGCCAGGGCTGCCTCTAAAAGACCTCATCAACTCCTAGCTGCTCTTGAATGCAATGGAACCATTCTACTACTTCCACTCCAAGCCTAGATGCAGGGGACTCTGTGGGACAGCTCAAGCCCTTTGTCCTAGATGCAGGGGACTCTGTGGGACAGCTCAAGCCCTTTGTCCTAGATGCAGCACAGTCATTTCCAGGCTCACTTAGGAAAGAGGAAACAGTTTTCTTCTGCTTTCAGGTCTCCCAAACATGTCTGCTATTCCCTCCCATAGTTATTTAACTCTGAGACAGAGGCAAAGTACTGTAGCTCTTTGGAAGGTTCTGTTTCCCTCTGACTCTTTTCTTTCCCAACTCACGTTGTTCTCTATAGAGAAATCAAGGGGACAGAGAACACGAGCTTCCACTTACTCCTCTGATTTTCTTCTTACTAATCTTTTGTCTTATGGTCATGGCTAGACTTTTGAATTCAAAAGTTAGAAATTTGATTATGTTGCAATCTACATTCTTGTGTGAATTTCTAAAGTCTAGCTGCTGCCTCAATTAAAGGATGGCAGGATTTAAAATATTATCTCACTATTAATTTATTATCCCTGGGCAAACTTCACTATATCATAATCAAATATCCAATATTTTGTTTACTTACTTGATATTAAAGAGGAGAGTCTTTTAAACTTACAGATACAGTAAGAAGTGATTTCTTCAACCAAAATGTTTTAGTGCCACTCTTTTATAATTCTAATATATGTACAGCTAAGTCCCTGAGCACCTTCTTGTAATCATTGTTAAAACTGCATCAACAGAATGGCTGATGTGGACCCTGTTAAAATCAGTGCACTTTCTTTGTTTTGAGCCCATTTTCTTTTCTTTAGGAATCTCAAGAGCCTTCAAACATCCATATTATGCTGATGTCTTTTAAGGTGATTCAACTCAGCATGTAAGTGAGAAACAATGAATATTTTTGACTGAAATGCTGTACTTTGCCTTGATCTAAAAATTAATTGAGCTTCTAAACTTGACAGCACATAATCTAGCTATTTGCCTTTCGCTGAAAAATGAACAAATAAAAATATGAAAAATGTAATTACTCCCTGCTTTGATTTTAAGTTGCTTTGTTCTGAGTCTCTTACTTGGCATTGAACCTGTTTCTGTTGGGAACCAGCAGGATAGAGAACTTTAAAGGGCAGGTCATAGGAACAAATTTGCCTCCATTATTAAATGTTTGAATATTCTTCAGAATCAACAAAGCACTACAGTTTGAAACATCATGTCTTTAACAAGTTCAGGGATGAAAGTCTGAGTCCTAGCCTTCCATTTAAAGAAAAAAATGATACCTTTACACTTTCAAGGTAGGAATATGCTGAAAGAATATACAATTAAACACCCCTTGTTATAGATATAGCCTAGTCATATATCCTCAACTTGCTAAAGTGTAGTTTTTCCAGATTTAAGTCTTCTATTTGAGTCAAAAGAAAATCAATCCAGCACTTCAGTTTTTTCCCACAGAGTGAAGGCCAAAACAGATGGGATTTCTTCATTATTACTATGTTAATAAAATTAAATAAAAGGTAATGAGAGATTATATATTTTCTTTCCAAGCCTTTAGTTTTGGTATCTGTTACCATATCTGTCTTTACAACCTGTCTACAAGGTAGAAAAGATAGGGTATTATCAACTACATTTCAAGATAAGAACAAACATCTTACCTATGTATAATATGTTATCAACTACATTTCAAGATAATAACATCTTACCTATGTATAATATGTCACAGTTTATAAAACATACCTTATTTTGATTCTGACCCACACAGTACCCCATGATATATGTGAGTCAATCAGGTATAATTTTCTTTAATTTACATGTGGAAAGACTGGAATTCAGCAAGGTAGAATGTCTATCTGTGTCCTGCACTTAGAAAATGGAAGAGATGACTTTGTCAGGCCCATGACTTTACTGAGACACAGACGACTGGGTGAGAATAAGTCTATATCTCATAAGAATACACTCCAATAGTCTTTATTTTTTCCCTTAGAGCTTTACTTTATTTTTCTGGGGTTACATTGTTTCAAGCCATTCTTTTGTGAAATATGCTGGGAAGTACTTCCTAGACTTGATGTACTTGGAACAGCCCCATTTGACCCATTCTCCACAGAATTCTAGGGAGTTGTTGGATTTGAGGATTATTTTCTTCTACGGTTTTACATATTGAAAGTCTTGCTTCAACTCTCAAAGGATGTTGTTAAACACAGGATAAATATTGAATTGTCTCTCTATCCTCACAGTCTTCATGGTGGCAAATAAAAGTTTCTGTGAAAGGGTTTGCTCCCTGAAGACCCACAAGTGGTGGTTAGAAAGTGTCCACAAATTAAAGGCAATGAAAGATCACTAACCACAAGTAATAGATGTTATTTTAAAAATGTAAAATACATAAAATAGCCTTTATACGCTTGTATATTCTGTAGCCACTCTAACCAGGTGGCTAATGTATAAGTATTTTCCCAATTTTGAGCACTTTTACACACACAAAGATGCTTTCATAAAAGCAATCTGTGTAGGATAAATATTAGCCATAGTTACATGATTTCTTTTAACTTCTAACAGTAGAACAGTGTTAATCTGTAAGAAAAAAACTTTTAATTCCTTAAAATATCTGAATCAGTAATCATTCTGAAAGACTTTTCTGATTTTAATAAAAGGAAAAAAAAGAGAAATTAAAAAAAAAACCCAACATTGATTCAGCATTAAAAATCATTTCATTATGTAGGAGACATGAATATATAACTTCCAATAACCCACAGTTATTCTCTCCATTTGAAAATCGTCAGGTCTATAATGAGTACCCACTGGATATCTCATAATCATTTTAGGGGAGGTCAAGACTGATAAGACAGAAATCCTAGTCAGTGCCAGGGTAGGATTCTGAAGGCTGGGTATTCTCAAAATAGTTGAAGAAAGACAGAAACTAATATTTGCTTATTTTCTCCACTAAGAATGTTTGCCTACCTCCTTTCTACCTAATAAAAACCAAGTACATCTTTCGAGGCTCCTTTCAGGAACTGTTCTGCTGAAATCTGCTACTGTGTTCAGTTCTGTTGATACTGTATCTCATCTGTATTTTCTGATATCCATCTCTTTCTCAGTCTGCATTAACAATGTTCTAGCTTAAACCTTTATTATTCTTTGCATAGTTAGGATTTTAACTTTTAAGTAAGCAATAGCATCCTGACTTTTCCCTGCCTTCAGTCTGTCTCTCCACTAATTCCATCTGCAAACATATAGCTTAATCTTCCTAAAGAACCACTTCAAAATATGTCCATTTTCTGTTGAGGATTTTTTCACTGGCTGCCCTTTACCTACCAAATAAAGTAATAATCATTAAATCTTGCATTTCACAGTCTTCTATGGGCTGGAGCAACTTGCCTCTTCACAACCAACAATCTCTCATGCATGCTATGCTCCATAGCAATTTCTATATCTTTACAGACCTTGAGCTTTTACCAACCTTTCCAGTTCCTCACTTTCCTCCTCACATCCAGGTCTTATCTAATATTCAAAGCCCCATTTGAAGGTCAGCCTTCTGGATACCTTTTCTGAAACCCAATTTCAATATATCTTCCCATGTTCTGATATCCATCACTTTTTGCCACAGTGCTTTTGTGTGTGTGCAAGAGAATCACTATGTTTTGAAGGGTCAGATTTCCTGAGATTTAATTCCTGGCTATTTATGTGACCCTGAGCAAGGACTAATCCTTGCTGCCTCAATATTATGGGGAGGGGGAAGACTAATAGTACCAACTTCAAAGCTTGTTGTGCAGATTACAAATTAATATACGTAAATGTCCTTAGTAAGTGCCCAATAAGTATTAGCTATAATTATGTATATCTTCTCTCTCATAATACTAAGAAACTTTGGGATGGGACTTCAGGCTACACATCACTGTGTCTCACCATGGTGATGGAACATATGCCGGTGTTCAACACACATATGTTGGATAAACATATTTATTTATGAAGTCCCATTCTGCCCCTTTCAGTTTCTTAGACAATACCTGAATACCCATAAAGGAATATAGTTCATTGATGATCAAGGCAGCCTTCCCTCTTACGATGTAGATGGGTGATTAACTGGACTTGAAGTGTATGAGAATCAACATTCCCCATAAAAATACTTCCCCTTCTTGACGAACATGGAACAGGTAATCTGTATCCATTCTGTTCCTCCAAAGGGTTGAAACATTGGTTGTAAGGTGACACAGGAGCAGAGACATGAACAGCAGGTCCAGAGAAATTTACATTTTCAAGGGTCATTTCCCTGCATTTTCCTACACTCATGTTTACCGTTCTCTTAAAAATACTCTGAGGCCAGGTGCCGTGGCTCACGCCTGTAACCCCAGAACTTTGGGAGGCCAAGGCGGGTGGATCACCTGAAGTCAGAAGTTCAAGACTAGCCTGGCCAACATGGTGAAACCCCGTCTCTATTAAAAATACAAAAACTAGCCAGGCGTGGTGGCATATGCCTATAATCCCAACTACTTGGGAGGCTGGGGCAGGAGAATTGCTTGAACCCGGGTGGCGCGGGTACAGTGAACCGAGATTGTGCCACTGCACTCCAGCCTGGGGGACAGAGTGAGACGCTGTCTCAAAAAAACAAAACAAAAGAAAACAAAAAAAACCTGAGTAATATTCATTCCTGAATAGGAGCAATTAGCAACTAATAAGCTGTATGTGCCTTACTAGGACCCTCAACACATTAAGGAAACTGTCCACAATTTGACTATGGGCTTTTAGGAAATAGGATGCTGACTTTGAATTGTGCATTGAAATTCATTAAAAGGATTGGCTGCAGAATCAGAAAGTCAACATTCAGAAATATATGGTATTTATTTAGGGGATTCTTAGACTCTGATGCATAACATTAATCCAAGCACAGACAGAATGAAAAGTACCATTTCTCCAAATGGCATTAATGTCTAAATACCAGCTTTATAAATACTGAATTACTCACAAACCTGGAATATGTGTATTTTTTCAAAAGTACCTATGTTTAGCATCTAAAGTTTCAGAAGAAAAGACATTTATAATGGATACATTTTGTCACATTTGTGATTCCATGTATGTGTATGTTAAGTTAGGACTTCAATTTTTACTAATACTAAAATTTTTCTTTTGCATTGATAATTTGTGTGTTCCCATGAGAAAAGAAGAGTTTCCTTAGCCTGACCTTCAGCCTCTATCATTAACAATTGTAGATATCAAAGTAGAAAAAAGAGCTACCATTTACTGAATGTTATCTGTATTGCAGTACTCAAAATAAGCCCACAAGGCAGGCATTATAATTTCTGTATAAGAGGTGAGGAATAGGAGGCTCAGTGTAGCTCAGTGGTTTGTCAAAAGTCATAGCTAGCAGGAGGGCCAAGACTCAAATTCACATCTTTCTAATCACAGAGAGGCTTCATCTATGGCTAGTTCATAATAAATTCAGATTTACAAAGTTTTATAAGTTTTGCTTATAATGAATGCTGTACTTATAAAAATGTACAGTTTTGTTACTTTCTAAGCACATTGGTCTAACTTTTGGTTCCCTAGCCAGGTGCTCAAGACTGTGCCCTGCCTGCAGCCAACTACTAAACATGGGCAATTTATTAAAAGTGTCTTCCTGCAATAGCTTCCTGGGGACTCAGGTATAAATCTACCCAATCTACCAATTAGCCTATACACGTTTCTACCACGTGCTAATAAATCTACCCAATTAGCCTATACACGTGTTTCTTGATGCTGGGCCCCTTTCTCTTTCCATACTTTCTTCAATAATATTGTGTTTTTAGAATGGTCCAGGGATGGGCACCCCAATCTTAGTCAAGGTAGCAAAAAAAGACATTTACAGGGAGGGTTTCCTACACTTGCTTAACACTCCTAATGGAGAGGTGCCTTCTCTTCATTTCTTTAAAGATCATTCTCATGAGTCAAAAATATCATGAAAAATAGTTTAAATGCTCTGAGGAGAAAAGCAGTGAGAGTTGAGGACATGTAATCCAGGTTATAAAAGAAATGGTTGTGCACCGATGTTCATGGCCGCATTATTCACAATCGCCAGGAGGCGGAAGCAACCTACATGTCTGTCAAGAGATGAATGGATAAACAATATATGATGTATATTTAATACATGCAACGGAATATTATTCAGCCTTAAAAAAGAAAGAAATTCTGACCTGTGATACAATATGGATAAACCTTGTGGACATTACATTCATGAAATAAGTCAGTCACAAAAAGATAAATACTGTTTGATTCCACTTATATTAGGTAACTAGAGCCATCAAATTCATAGAAACAGAAAACAGAATGGTGGTTGCCAGAGACTAGTGGGAAGAAAAAGTGAGGAGTCATTGCTTAATGTGTATAGAGTTTCAGTTTTCAAAATTAAGTTTCTGGTGATTGGCTTTACAACAACGTGAATATACTTACCATTATTGAATTCTACACTTAAAAATTATTAAGATGGCACAGTTTATGCTGTGTGCATTTAACAACAATACAGAAAAATTAATGGTAAATATTTGAGAAATGTGGTTATGGGAAATTTGTAAGTTTTGAGTGTGTGAGGAATGAAGACATTTGGAGAATGTAGAACGACAGAAAAGAATGGTACCAACTACTAATTCCCAAGCCCAAAATGATTTCCCACCTTACCCTGGTACCTATTATTAATTCTCTAGTTTGAGGTACAAGCAAGAAAAGATACCTATCTAAACACTTAGGATTGCACACCATTCATTGACATTAATTACTTGGGTAATTTTCATAATCCTTTACACTATTTAAAAAAATTTAACAGTTCAGTCAGACAGATAGATTTCTCTCAATTGAATTTAAATTAAATAAGTCAAATGGCTGTCTTTTAATTAACACTAAATTACATCCTATTAATCAAGTATATTCTGCTATTGGAATGTTGTTGCATTTATTAAGTATTTTATTGAAAAAACATTTCAATAATATAATTAAGTTTCTGTCATATTTTATGAGATAAATATTTGCTAGCCTATTGTGTACACAACAGAGATACAGAATGGCATATTGGAATAGAAATGCAACCAGACATTCAGGCCTGGCTTTGAGTCATAGATCTCCTTCTGGGTAACCCTGAAAAGCAAGCTAAAATTTCCAGGTCTCAGTTTATCTTTCAGCAATGTGAAAGAATTAGTCTAGGCTGGGTGCAGTGGCTCACACTTGTAATCCCAGCACTTTGGGAGGCTGAGGCAGAAGGATCACTTGAGGCCAGGAGTTCAAGAACAGCCTGAGCAACATAGGGAGACCCTGTCTCTACAAGTTTTCTTTAATTAGGCAGGCATGGTGGTGTGCACCTGCAGTCCCAGCTACTTGGGAGGCTGGGATGGGAGAATTGCTTGAGCCTGGGAAGTCAAGGTTACAGTGAGCTGTGATCATACCACGGCACTCCAGCCTGAGTGACAGAGACCTTGTGTTAAAAAAAATAGTCTAAAGTAGGGTCAGCAAACTTTTTCTATGAGGACAAAATAGCAAATATTTTAGTCCTTTTAGGCTTTGTGGGAAGAAGCAAAATGAAAGATAATGAGAAAAAACAAATCTTCTAAATACATTTCTAAATACATTTCTAAATACAAAATTTTCTAAATACAAAATTCAAAATACAATAATTACTATTTTTTGTAATTCATGTTTACTAATGAGGGGAATAAAATTTCCTCTCAATAAATGCCATGCTTCCAGAATGTTCCTTCTCAGCCTCTTTGGCTGGACTCCTCTGTTCAATTTCTAGATGCTGGTATGTTCCAGAACCCTCATTTCTCTTCCATCTTGATTTTCTTCTTGCATTAGCTTATCTAGTTCCACAGTTTTAAAAACCATTTACACATTATGACTTTCAAATTTGTATCACTATAGTTGACCTCTCTACTGTAGGGTATGTTTATATAACCGATTGCCTTTTTCTCATTTATTCCATGTCTAAGAGGTACCTCAAATGAAATAATTCCTAAAATTGTTTCCTACCCTTATCTCTCTCTCAGTAAATGATACCTTCACCTACCAGGTAATTCAAGCTGAAAATCTAGGAATCATCTTAGATCATTGCCTAAACTCTCTCCAACAAGAACCAGTTTATTAGCATTCATTTGAGTATTCTTTGTATAAGGAGAAAAAGCAATCAGAGTTGAGAAGCTGTATATCTGTGTTCAACATAGAAATAACCAGATATATTCTGGCTGTAAAGTAATTATAAATGTTATTAAGTCAGCCCCCTAAACAAATTTTGGACACATCCACTTCTCCTCATCTCTACTAATATCACTTAGTCCCAGCTACCATTACCTCTTACTTGGACTACTGCTCTTGCTTCCTAAATGGTGTTTCTATTTACATTTTCAACTCCAACCCCTGCTGCACCCAATCCATTCTCTACAGAGTGGTCAGAATGATCATCTCAAAGCACAGTCAGACTTTGTCACCTCCTGCTTTTAAGTTTTTGCACAGATTCCCACTTTTTAATTTGACATATATTAGTATCTGATTAGTATGTTCCTAGCACTATTCTCATTGCTGGGGAGATGGCAGTGAATAGACAGACAAAAATCCCTGCCAAATGTAACTTACACTCTAATGAGGGGAAATAGATAATAAACCAAAAAAAAGTGAATCAGATAGCATGTTAAATAGTGATAAATGCTTTGGAGAAAAATAAAGCAGGGAGCTAGGCAAGGAGATGGGGTTTGGAGGCATTACAACTTTCAATAGGGTTGTCAGCAAAGGCCTTATTGTGAAGATGCCTTTTCAGTAAAGACCTGAAGAAGGTGAGTCAGAAAGGAGGTGGAGTTTGAGGGTAATAGCATTCCACGGAGCAGAAAAAGCAAGTGCAGGAACAGCAAGAAGCAGAGTGAGAGAGGTGGGGAGAATTCAAGATGATGTTAGAGAGATGACAGAGTCTAGGTTAGGGAGGGCCTGAGTCCTTGTAGACTCTGAGTACGGTGCTGAGCAGGGAAGAGACAGGCTCTGGCTTAGGGTTTAGAAGGAACACAGGCTACTGCGATGAGGATTGTCTGAAGGGGAACAAAGGCCAAGGTGGGGAGACCACTTAGAACTCTACTGCTCTACTTTAGGTGAAATGTTAGAACTGGGTGAGCCGAAAACATGCTCAGCATCTGTGAGGAGGGGGCACAGAGGGAGCAAGGATGGATCCAGGGTTTTTAGTCTGATCAACTGAAAGTCTGGAACAGCCATTACTTAAAATAAGGAAGTCTAAGGGAAGAAGAGATTTAGGGGAGAATATCACGAAACTTGGTTTTAGGATGGGTGCATTCGAGATGCAGATTGCACATCCAAGCCAAGATGCCAAGTAAGCAGTTGGATGTTTAAATGTGGATTTGAAAGGAGAGGTAGAGGCTGGAAATATAATTTTGGTAGTCATTCTGTTACAGATGTTGTTTGAAGCCGTGAGACTGAGTGAGATCATGGAGGAAGTGAATGTAAATAGAAAAGGGAAGAAGTCTGAAGACGGAGCCCTGAGACACTCCATTGTAAACTGGAAGATGAGGAAGAGCCAGCAAAGGAGACTGAGAAGGGGCAGCCAGTGAAGATGGAGGTAACCAGGAGAGTGTGGTGTCTGAAAGCCAAGCAGCAAAGGGTTTCCATGAGGAAGGAGAAATTAACAAGGTCAAATGCTGCATATGGGTTAAGCAAAACTAGAATACCTTCTAAATAGAGTATGTTCTAAAATTATTACCAGTACTTGAAATCACCTACAAATTGATCTCCTTTATGTCTATGCCTTCATCTCCTAATATCCCCTCCCTTCCTCAGTATAGCCTCTCCCCCATTTTCCTCTCCAGCTTTCATCTGCTACCTCACTCTCTCCCTCGTTCACTATCCCTTCTCTAGACCAGCCCTTTGTTTTTCCAGCATGTCAATATATTGTCCAGCCCTTTGTTTTTCCAGCATGTCAATATATTGTCCTATCTGTTCTTCCCGCTGCCTAAATGTTCCTTTTACTTCATGATTACTTCCTATCATTACAGTTTTTTTTCATGACCACTCAGTCTACAGTACCAATTTTATTAATGTTACTTCCACCTCCTTCCACTCACTCTTTATCCCACCACTTTGTTCTTTCCCTTTATGTAATTTTCAGCATCACAACATTTTCAGTTCATTGTTTTCCATCCCACATAAAAACAAGGATCTAGACTGTCTTGTTCTGTGCACTGTGTCGGGCTAGAACAAGGAGTGCTATAACATTCATTCAATGAATATTTACTGAATAAGCTAATTAATCTATATTTCAAAATTTTAACAAAGTTGTATGTAAAGCATACCCAAACACTGGTAAATCATTCCAAATTGAGATGTACAGAGGAAGAAATCTGAGAGGAATTTTTATTTGATGATGCAGGAAAGTATTTCTTTCAAGTGTTTTTCAATTTACATGTTAATTGAAAAACATTTCCCAATCCATTTGAGCATTTGGCAATCCCTCTGAGACACAGTTCATCTACCTTATTTCCACAGCGCCTCAAATACAACCTTGCATTTGCCTAAGATGGTGCTGTATTATAACTTCATGTTACCTTTCATAGTTCCAGGAATCTGTAAAAGTAATAGTATCATCTTTATTCAGGTCTAGTTTATAGTGGACACACCTTGACTGTTTATTGAAAAGATGTTTAAATAAATGAATATTGAAATATTTAATTAAGAGTAGCTGCTGAGGAACAGAAAACCAAACACCGCATGTTCTCACTTACAAGTGGGAACTTAACGATGAGAACACATGGACACATCGGGGGCAACAACACACACGGGGGCCTGTGGCGGGTGGGAGGGAGAACACCAGGAAGAACAGCCAATGGGTGCCGGGCTTAATACCTGGTGATGGGTTGATCTGTGCAGCAAACTACCATGGCACACGTTTCCCTATGTAACAAACTTGCACATCCTGCACAGGTACCCTGGAACTTAAAAGAAAAGTTGGTCAAAAAAAAAAAAAGTAGCTACTGAACAGTCAAGTAAAATTTTCTTATTCATTCATTTCCTACCGTCCTTCTCAAGAGAGTTGTCTTCTAAGAGGTCCAAATGAACACAACTTATCACTGGAAGCTCTTTTTAAAAAATCGCTCTAATGAAATTCAGGGGATGAGTAGAAATGGGGTAGGGGCAGGCTTTGTGTTTGATAATTTGGTGTGCTCTTTCATCTTCCCTCTGCAGTCTTACGCTCATTGTTTGTTGCTGCTAAAGCAGTAAATGTTGTTTGTCTTCATTGCAAAACCAAGGATAGAAAACTTTGAAGTGTTTTCTGTTGCTTAATGTCACCTACTGTTCCTGTCAGCAAACTGAAATAAACCTGATGGACTGAGGTGTCTGGTCTAATTCCTTTATTGACACATAGTCCTGTCTTCAAACACCAGTGTAAATGAATAAGTACTGAGATAGTAATGTGTCAGTAATAGGCTGCCAGATAAATGCCATTGTTTACGTACTGATCCCTGCTTCCTAAGGCCCAAACAGCTCAAAAATCTTACAAATTAGCACCTCGCTGAGATCAAAGAATTGTCTTTTCTTTCTGCAATTACCTACTTGGAGAGCGGTGCAAGCAGATGAGACGAGTTTAAGCTGTCTCTCTCTAGCCCAAATCTTTCTTTTAAAGAGAACAAATGGTGGAATTATACACTGTTTCAGGAAAAGGCAGTTAAGAATAAGAGATTTTACCTTATTTTGCCATGTAAGAACAAGGGGATTTTGTATTTTAATTTTTATGTTAATCCACCAATCAATCCCCATTATAATTATTTTACTGAAAATTCAGTGGAAAGAGCCATGTTCATCCTTAACAACCATCTTTTGGGATCAGATTTAGCTGCAAATTACAAAAATAAAAATAGCTTTGAATTCAGTGACACCATAGTACTCACACTTCAAGCAGAAAGTATGAGAAAAATAAATGCTTTCTGAAGGAGTAAAAATTTAGACAACACATCTTCTAATTTCATTTTTGGCATATCTTAAACAGAAAAGTGCACCATTAGTCTCTCTTAATTTAAAAAAAAAAAGGCATAATTTTATGACTTTCCTTGCTTACCAAGTTCTTTGCCCTGAAGCACATTCCAGTTCCATTAGCCTGTGTCCAAAATGGCATTGTTTTATTTGAAGATATTGAGAAATGAGAGGATAGAAGGATGTAACTTGAGTTTATACTATTTAGTAATTGTCTTTCATATTAGTCATACAATCTACAAACAAGAAACCTAGTGTTCAAAACTTATTATGGCTTAGGGTAATGTTGGCTTCTTTATAAGAAAGACAAAATCCTTTCTTGGTGGCAGGCTTTATCTTTTATGCAAATGAATAAAGTCTGCTTTCAAATTCTAGTGTTAGACTTTGTGTTAGTCAAAGCCTTGACTCCTATGGATAAGTGAGTGGTTTAAAGAAATAAAAATTGACCTGAAAAGTAATTATCTGCAATAACTTGGAATCCTTTTTCCCTGTATATGTTTTACTTCACTTATTCACATCCATGTTTTTTAAAGAGAGTATTAAATGCCTTATGCCAAAGAGTTCACGTAAATAAATGTGAACTTAAGGCAAATTTTAATATAATTTGTCTCATTTTTCTAAAACTGTTTCTTACATTAAACATTCTTGTATCTTTGGAATCAGCCAGGGCTAGAGTAAGAGCCCCTTCTGGGATGCTGTGACCCCCAAGTTTGAAGACTGCTGATAACCCCAATCTACGAAGACTAGCTATGGAACTTCCTACACTGAGACAACTCCAGTGGAACTCTGATAATTATCCTAAAATAAGGAGGCTTCTTCAGTAGCCCTCGAAATATGTTCAAATACATGATTACATTTATGTCCTTAATATTGCTATTAGTTTCTGATGTTAATGTAAAAGTTGGGGAAAAAGTGGAAAAGTTAAAGCAGTGCAGGTTAATTCAATGCCAGAGTAACTTCTCAGAGGGTGTATATTCAGTGTGAACAATTTTCAACAGAGAAATGTCAACTTCTGGCCACAACGGCAACCAGTAAAATGACTATTTTTACTGTCTTATCTATTAATGAAGAGGAGATTGCATAATATAGATGAAGGAGCATAGTATTTGCAGGTGGAACGCCTAGCAGGGCTTGAGTCTCAACTCTGCTGCTTTTACTCTAATTGACCGAGACAAGTCATTTAAACTAATAGAGCTTCAATTTTCTCATATCTAATGTAACATAACAATTCACAGCCTTTTACTTTGTAGTTATCGTGAAGATCTAATCGCAGTGAAATATATTTATATATCTGTCTGCTGATAGAACTTTTGTCATAGAGGCTAGTCCATTTTATGTCAACGGGGCTTAAATAAGATCTGTGCCAGCAACTGAATTACACTAATGAGTGAGTAATTACAAAAGAAGCCTGCTTTATCAATCTATATAAAGAAGAAAGTTACTGAGTATGGAGGGGAGATTCTCCTTTCATATTGGCACTCATTCTTACTTTCCCTGAAATAGAGATTATAGTAGTCTACCAGCAATTTTCAAACTTCAATTCTGGCCTGGAAATTGGACAGAAGGGGTCCAAGGACAATGAACCGAAAGTGCCAGTGAATGTCTCAGTGCAGACTTGGAGTCATAGTGGTTAATTTGCAAAATTAACTCCCTATTCAGACTTCAGGCAGTTACATGTCAACCAACATCAACTTCGACCCTTAATCTTCAGCCTCAACCTAGTAATAATATCTCTGAGGTGAATAAGCTATGAAGTGGACATTTCCACCTTCCTTTATTTTATTTTATTTATTTTTTTGAGATGGAGTCTTGCTGTGTTCCCCAGGATGGAGTGCAGTGGCACAATCTGGGCTCACTGTAACCTCTGCCTCCTGGGTACAAGAGATTCTCCTGCCTCAGCCTCCCGAGTAGCTGGGACTAGAGGTGTGTGCCACCACGCCTGGCTAATTTTTTGTATTTTTAGTAGAGACAGTGTTTCACAGTGTTAGCCAGGCTTGTCTCTATCTCCTGACCTCTTGATCTGCCCGCCTCGGCCTCCCAAAGTGCTGGGATTACAGGCATGAGCCACCACACCTGGCCCCACCTTGCTTTTTTATTAAGACTGCTAATAATAAGTTACTGTGCTTTCTTATTATATCCCCTTTTGGTCTCTGTTAACAAAAAATACAGTTGTATGTAAATTTTAGTATATGACAATGTTCATCTCACAATACGTACAGTGATAATAGTGGAAGAGGAAGGAAGGTAAAACTTTTGCTGTGATTCCATAAATGAGCAACGTGGGACACCCTTGTATGAGTCCAGTGCTTACACAAGCGCCTGAACACAGAGCTGCCAGGCTGGGTGCATGTGTCAAACTCTGCCAAAGCCCTGAAAGCACCAGTTGTGAAAAGCTGGAAAAAGGTCTTGGCAACCAAAATTCATGTTGATTTTTGTCACCTTTTTGAGCAAATATTCTTTGCAGATCAATAGTCCATTGGTTTAATTTTACAAATGTTTTCTTTTGAATTTTCTTTCCTCCCAATGTAGTTTCAAAAAACTAGTCCATTTAAAAAATGATCCTTTTTATGGAGTGAAAGAATACAATACTCAGAGTGGTTCCATGCTCAAGTTCCAAGATGCAAATTTTTTTATGCAAGTCTCATATTCAATTAATAGCCCCGAGATTATGAAAGATCCATTACCTTCTCAATTGCAGATTCAGGTATTGCCAACACAACACAAAGCAGCATTAAAATTCATGTCATTCTATAATGGTATTTTCCAAAATGTACTTTTTCCAAACACTTTCCAAAATGTACTTTTTCAGGTTGCTTTAAAAATTTTAATATAAAATTTAACAATTAAAAATGTATTTTATAGTCAGAATAGCAGGAACTCTTTGTAAGTACTGAGGGATTATCACTAAATAAAATGTATAGCAAGTGTGCTATAGCAGTATTCTTCTGTAAGAGATATCCAGAGTTATTGACCTGAGAGAAGGAGGAGAAATGCATGTATGAATGCAAAGAATCCTGTTTTTCTTCAGCAGGGTACTGAAAACTAATTCTTCTTCATGAGGGAAGGCAAACAACCCTCTCTCTGGTCTCTTTTCTACTATGATTCATTTTTTGGTCTAAGTTTTTTCCCAAACCAAGAGTAGACTCCCTCCTGAGTCTCTATTGACTTACCTGGCTGCCAACAAAGGAAGGCTACTAGTTTCTTGGAATTCATATAATTATATTTCTGTGGGCACTCATAAAGAGCCATCAGCTCTGTCCTTGCACACCCCACTTCTAGACTTGCCTCCAGCCGGGGGTGGTAATAACTGAAAAGAAAACATTTCTTGACCTACTCCAGTACCTCATAAATCGAAATGTATCCCTTCAACTAACACTCAAATTCCATCTTATTAATATAACTGCCAAACTAAATTAAGTCCAATTTTACTTTTTTGTTTACCTCCTATACAATGGAATCATATTTTTTCATATTAAAATTTTAGCAAATAATATGTCACCTACCATTTGCACCTCCACACGATGCTAGAGAATTAAGTTGGGAAAGTCAGACCTCCAATGCTCTTGATACAAATAAGTCCTGACCAAAGATTTAACCAGAATGTTCCCTCAGTGCTGCTAAATAAATATTTATTTATGTATGTATTTATGTAATACTTCTCCTTTGAAAAGAGAACTTGAGGTAGTCTCCAGAAATATACACATACCAGTGGAAGAAAAACAGACCAATCTGTGGAAATTAAAGCAAGAAGAAAGATAAGCTGGAAGAAAATATATATTGAAGCAGTAATGTTGGTGCCTGCCATACTGGTCTTAGCGTTCTGATAGGTTCCTGCATGTTGGTGGTAATTTTGAAACAGACTATCCTAATAATCCAGGCAAATATAGTTTGAAAGCACAATTAGTCATGAGACTACCCATGTTGCTGGCCAAAATCACACTGCTGTGAGAGACAGCACAGTTGTTCCTGTTCCTGAGATGCATGAGGAATTTTTCTCATGGTTCCTTATGAAGTAGACACTGAGTGATTGGTAGCTATTAGTGGGAAGCAGGATATCTGGGAAGAAGAGGGAAAAATGACAGCATTGCACAAATTTGAGGGAATGGATTCTTTGCCTTTATCATATTTAATGTAAGCTCCTAGTGATTAATGAGTTTGAAATGCCTGGTCATCTACATATGTGTGCCTGATTCCAGGAGAGATGGAGTCTGACAGTTTGTATAGCAGCTAAGTTCATGGGAATGGAGTCTGCTGCCTAAGGCCCTGAGCAGCCTTTATTGCAAATTCTGTAGAGTAACCCGCTGTGTAGCAAACAGTCAGGATCACTTATTATTATTTACAGACTTTCCAAAGCTCTCATCAAATAGGAGCCCCACACTGTCAATTTCTGGAAATATCAATGCTTAATGCTTCCCCATTCACAAAGTATGGGGAAGGTGTTGTCAATCTGGGGATAGAGGGGAGACTTGTGCCACGTTTTAGAGGATGGCACTTTGGAACTTAGGGATACAGAAGTCTAATGTGAGGACAGCCATTTGGCGGTCACCTGTCTTATTCACAAGAGAGGAATTAACTTCATAGCATCCCTATTGTTTGAAAAGGGGACTTACTGAGTGCCATCTATGTGCAAGCTAATAGGTAAACAGTAATATGTTTTCCAAAAGCAGATGGAAATTTTGAGAGTCCCAAAGCTTATATAATTAAGGGCAAAGAGAAGGTTTAAGAAATTTATAAATATAAAACTATGTATAAGACTGCGCATGTAGGCCATGCAGAGGAGGTAAAGTGCAAGCTTTGGTAACTTCACAGAAAATCTATCTATGATGGTGTTCTCCTATAATCCTCAGAGTAACCAATGATCTGAGTGAAACTCTCTCCATGTGACACAGGACAAAACTGAGATCCAATTTTTGTAGTTGCCAAATTTTGCAAATAAAAACAATGGACTTTAAGTTAAATTTGAATTTCTAATATACAACAAAAAAATTTTAATATAAATATGTTCTCAATTTTTTTATATTAAAAAATCATCTATTGGGATCTGGAATTCAAATTTAATCTGGTGTCCTGTATTTTATCTGGTAGTCTTACCAATATTATATAGCCTAGTTTTTAACCCAGATTTGTTGTATAAAAATACAAAGTTCAAATATATTTTATTCCTTCCCTATTATAAGTACCACATGTTTAATAATTACTAAGCACAGTCATTTTCCCCTTAAATAAAAGTAATCTTTGCATTAAATTGTTTATTATTTAAATAATGGAAATTATATATACTCTAGTTCTTAAAAACTTAACTTTAAATTATCCAGGTAATAATAGTTATTGCAGAAAAAATTTAAATGCAAACAGAAAAGGCAAGCAACCTTTATAATCCTCTCTTTCACAGATGACTTCTTTTGTCATTTAGTTTTTTATATCTTCTGACTTTCTTATGCAAATAGCTATATATTGCTTTAAAAAAGAATCAGTGTTATACATTCTTTTAAATACAAAGTGACTTAAAAAAACACAACTTTATTTTCTTTGTGCTGGGCCTTGTATGTGATGATAGAGATTTGGCAATCAATTATCAGGATTTGGATGAAAAAAATCAGCAAGTAGAATACCAGATGTGAAAACTTCCCACAGAAATTCTTCTTCCTTTGAAGTGTGAGATTAATGATCTATATCAGACGGTCGGTTGACCGTATTGCAGTTAGACCTAATGTGAAACATTTCAGATGGCTACCGGATGATACAGGTATGGCTGATAAAAAGCCCCTCAGAATTGAGATAAATCGGCTTGGTCTCATCATTATCTCATAGAGCAATGCAGGCAAAGGAAAAAAAAATATGTCTCTTGACTGATTATTTGAGTTCTTATTGCAGATTTAAAATAAAATAAATCAGTGGGATTACATGTCAAATTTATCTACCAGAATTGTCACCTAATATATATAGATATTGGTTTTCTTTCAGAGGAGAGGGAAAATAGAGAAAAATGGATAACTTGTCATAAATGTAAAACTTCAGAGAGAACTAACAGAAGCGTGCAAGCTATGTTTTTACAGGCAAAACTTTTTTCTTCTATAGAACAAGCCTATATTAAGCAACATCGGCGACTCAACTGTTTGTCCCAGTGCAGAATTTAGGGCTGCCTTCACATGAAGCAAAAGGAAGTGTCAAATAAATTATTGGAAAACTGCGTTTCAATACCTGCATTACCTTGTCTGGCTATACAGAGTTAACTTGGGTTTCCTAAGAATTTTCTGGGAATTTTTACTGAGTATGCCTGGTCAAAGTAGAATAATCTACATAATCACCTGTGATTGTCCCTAAGGATAACCTGCCCTTGACTCTATGTCTGACTTCCATCTTTGAAACCAACACCTATTGTTACAAGGAGGAGGGACCATATGGTAATATCTACAATTAACAGATATTCCACAGTCAATTCCTTAGTAGAATAGAGAAAAGAAAAAGTGCTGGTCTGGGACCCTGGAGACTTGAAATCCGGTCATGAATCTAACAATGTCAACACACAAGTTGGCAAGTTGACGCAACGCCAACTTACACAACTTGTACAATTTACCCATTCTTGTCTGGGTGCAGTGGCTCACGCCTGTAATCCCAGCATTTTGGGAGGCTAAGGAGGGCAAATCATCTGAGGTCAGGAGTTCAAGACCAGTCTGGCCAACATGGGAAAACCCTGTCTCTACTAAAAAATGCAAAAATTAGCTGGGCATGGTGGTGCACGCTTGTAATCCTAGCTCCTAGGGAGGCTAAGGCACGAGAATCCCTTGAACCTGGGAGGTGGAGGTTGCAGCAAGCCAAGATAGAACCACTGCACTCCAGCCTGGGAAACAGAGGGAGGCTCTGTCTCAAAAACAAAACAAAACAAAACAAATAACCAAAACTTACCCATTCTTTATCTTAGTATCCTCAACTACAAGATAAGATTTTATTGACTCTTTGAGCCCACTCTTAGGATTCTCAGCTCTAAAATTATTTCAAAGGTTTTTTTTTGTCTTCTTGTAAGTTCTGAATGCATATTTCAGTTTGAAAGTTTACCAGTGCTTCTCTCCTCTGCTGAAAATGTGCTACTAAGTTTATAAACACACACCTGTTTGAGAAATAGATAAACATTATAACAAACTTCTACAGCTATTTTGAAGATTGAAAACTATTTGCCCCATAAGTATAAAAATCAATAAATATATTTGTATATATTTGTATATATTTTAATTAAACATACCTTGTCAATTAATATATGTATCTGTGTATATAGATAGATGTGTGTGTATATTTATATACATGATATAGATAGATAAATATATAGCTATAGATAAAGATATAGCTATAGTAACACATGGATTGAAAATGATCTGAACTAATATAAATAAAATTCTCACTAGTCCAGTGCTTCTCCATCTATCTGAAGTGAAGAGCCACATTTTTTTAAAGTTATTATTATTATTTCTAATTCCCTGGTGACAAAAATACAATTAAAACAGCAAGTTGCTATTAAAGTTTCTAACTTTATTGACTCACTTTGTATGTGAATTCTCTCTTTACTTATCTCCTAGTAAGCCAGTAATGGAAACATATCATCATAGGTCTATGCACCAAATTTTATGTAGAATGTCACTAGGGCATAAGATTACATGAAATTTTCATTTTCTTAATGTTTTATATAGTTTGATTTCAATGTAGATATTATACCTAGAATAGAAGATTTAAAAAATTAACATGAATTTTGGTATAATTCGCTTACTAAAAATACATATATGAGTAGGATGATATAATTTCAATTATTAATCTAAGTTATCTCAGGGTAAAATTAAACAAGATATTTCTTTCCTTTTTGGAAGGGGAATATTTGTATTTGTTGATATTTCATAATCATTGGATATGTATTACACATATAATGAGAAAAAAACAATTTCCATTACTACATGAACAAAGGGCAATGTAAGGCTATTACTAAGTTGGGTTAACACAACTGGTTCACTTTCATTTACATGAACCATTCTTTTGATGGAATATCTGAAGAGAGAAATGTGTGTGTTTGTAGTCCATTCCAGTTCTGGTTCTGTGCAAATTCTAATAAAAATGAAATGTAATTGATCCTCAAAAATATGATTCATCTATTTTAAGTCATCAGTCAACACACATTTAAATAGCAAATTGCTATTAAAATTCCTAACTTTAATGACTCACTTTTTATGCTTGTTCTCTCTTATCTCCTGGTAGACCAGTAAACATTCCACTAAGGTTCACAAATAAATTCTTCAGGGAGTAATGCTTGCGTGGTTCTTTAGCCAATAGTTGGCCCACTACTTCCAAGTCAACTGATGTTGGCATCCAACATGTTTTATTTTTCCAGCTAACAGTTGGATATTCATTTATTCATTTACTGAATGTTTAATGAGTATAGTGCTATGAATCAGGCACCACACTGTTTCCTGAGGATAAAGTGTGGAAGAAAAAGACATAGTCCCTGTCCTCCTGGAGCTTTTATGCTGATACAAAAGGCTGATACTGAACAAGTGACTACATGTTCTGTCAGCAATGTGGAGACTAGATGGGGAAAAGAACAAGAAGGGTGTGGAAGACTATTTGAAAGGGTATTTTTATTGTATTTTCGCTAGCATGAGCCAGCTAACCAGATAATAGCATGATTCATTTCCCCAGAGGGTCTATTTTATAATACACAAAGGAGTCACAAGGACATTCCTAACTGACCTCGGATGTTTTTTAATTAAAAAGAAGTTGCACTAGTTTACATGGAAAGCAACAGAGAGAGAAAAGTTAGGAGAAAATAAAACAGCCCCCTAAAAGATACACTAGGCGATGTAATATCACACAGGAGATTCTACTGTAGTTGCATCTTTAAAGAGCTGAAGTGGGGATGCAGGCATCTCAGCAAATTCTATTGTCATTTCAAGGTAGAAACTTACGAACCAACCTACCAGTTCAAAATTTAATTATATGTGTTTGTTGATTTTTGTTTTGGGAGGAACCAGAGGAGTGTTAGGTCAGCTGATTGATAGATGAAGTATGTAGTCCAATTTGTTTGTGAAGGGCTTTCTCTCCATAAAAATAAGCACCAATTTATTCTTCTCTTATTTCTGTAGTTTTACAAATTCTATGTGCTGAACATAAAGTCTTCATAATAATAGCTAACATGTTCTATGTGCTCGCTACATGACAGTAAAGTACTGTACTAAATATGCCATAATCAGATCTCTTAATCTGCTCTGAGATATGAAAGAGGTGCTATTTTTAATCCCATTTTTCAGATGAGGAAATTGAGATATTAAAAAAGTAACTTGCCCAAGGTGACAGAGCTACTCAGTGATGCAGCCAACCTCACAGCCAAGCAGTTTGAGGGTAGAACTTTCCACTACAATACTACATCCATGACATCATCAGAGGCATCACCAATGGCCCCATGACCATGACTGTAATCTATTTTAAGATTTTCTTTGTAAATTAGATCCACTCTTCAGAACAAATTTTGTGGCTTTTTATATTGGGAATTGAACCTATCAGTTTGAAGGTGTTAAATAAATATTAAATAATGGTCATAATAAAAAAAAATAAGGAAGCCCCAGATGCTCTGTGAGCAAAAGGAGTTTGAGTTATTATGCGCTGAGATACTTTAGCACAGTCTTCACAAAACAGCAACATATGAGCTCCAGTGCAGCCACATCAGCCACGGACTGGCTGTGATTAGGGTTTTTCCCTTTATAAGAGAAATACTTTACCTCCACATAGCACCAGCTATGGCTGCCTTAGTTAACTATTGTTCTTCTCTTTTACCCAGAGGCAACCTATGCCTATGTATGAAGTAGCTACTTGCACTGTGTGCCCCCCGCCACACATGTGTCCACTACATAAGAAATCACCTACTTTTACTATGTGAGGCTTTTATTGTTCGGCTCGAACCAATAATTGTACCACTTCTGAGATGACATGAGAGCATGCCAACTCCAGCCCAATATTGATCAAACTGACTCTGAAAATAGTTTATTGTTCTAGCAGCATGTTTCCTCTGGATTTGTATACAGATACCAAATCATTCTTATGAAAAAATTAACAGAAATAAAAAAAAAACGAGGGCCATGGACATCTGCAGGATCATCCAGAGCTCACTATTCCTGTGCTTTTGGAGACATCCACCTGCTGTTCCATGGAGGTGAGTGCTGTAATTCCCACCTTTCCCAGTGAATTAAACAAGTCTCAGGGCACCGGTTATCTGTGTATCCAAAGAATAAGGTGCTACCCACTGGCACCTGTAACTTCATCACATACTATTTTCTTAGGAAGAAAAAAATGACTAAAAGTAACAGATGGGTCAATTTCCAGTTTCCACTCCGAGTCCACACAATTTTCTGTGACCCAGGATCAGAACGATGGTTCAAAATGCTTTCTCTCTTCTTTATCTTTTTTGTAAAATGAGAATAAATTAATTAAATAATACTCATCTAACATATTAGTTGTTTAGGAATTTGAAAAACAAATTGCCAAATATTGTCTTAATCCCGAAACAGACTTAAAGTTGTATTTTCGTTCATTCATTTACTCAATAATTTACTGAGGATTGACTGCATGAAAAAATGCCATCATGTCCCAGGGGGAGAGAAAGAAGAAAGTCACCTAGATAAGCCTTCCTAACCAATTCTGGATCTCCAAACCCAGTGCAGGATACAGACATGTTAATAACCATAACATTAAACATAGTATAAGTTCTATAATAAAAGATTAAGATACTATGAAAAAAAAATATGGGTAGATCAGGAGATCTTAAGCTGTAAATGAAAACCCAACTGAAGCTGGTGGAAAAAAAGAAAAAAAAAGTATTTACTGGCTTCCTTGACCATAAAGTCCAAGTGCCAAATAATTGCAGGCTAGGTGTCATTCAGCAGTCTAAATGTCTTCCCTAATGGCTACCTGTCCAGGTCCATCCCATGCTGAAGTTGAGGGGAGTGGATGGATGAGCAGAAAAAACACTCAGGTGGTTTTATTCAGCAACAGCTCTCATCAACTAGCTCTCTCACACCGTCTGCCCTCTTTCGGCTGCTTGAATCCATGGCTCCCACACACAGCTGTGTGCCTGGCTCTCCCTTGCCTTCAGGGTCAGCAGCTTAACTCTCTGTCTCTGGGCACGAGCAAGCTGAGCTGTGTCCTGACTCCCTCCTGTCTGTCTGCAAGACAGGCAGCTTTGGCTCTCTCTTTTACTCTGGGCACCAGCACACCCACCATATCAAGCCATGTTGAGCCCCAAGAGCCCCCGTACAGTGTTAGCAGGGCAATTATACCTTTTACAGGAAATAGTGGCTCAGAGCCAAGTATGAACTTACCCAAACAGAGTATATAACAAGTGGAAGTGTGCACCTGCACACCAAACTCGCTGAGTTATGCAGCCCTGGATATCCACCTCAGCCTATTCCATGACCAAAGCACATCTATGTACCTTACGCTACTCTGCCCCCTATGATTTTGCCTTTTTATAGCAACGTGGCTATAAATGTTCCACAGCTCACACATTCTTACACTGCCAACTAGGAAAGAAGAGGACACTCCAGCAAATTCTTCTTTCATCTCCTGACTATGATTGTCTTTAGCATCCAATCCCAAATCAAGCACTTTGACCAGGGATTTGGGCATTTTCAATTGGCTTAAGCTGATCGGGGCTCACCCCTTGGGTTAGGAAAGAGATCAAGGCTACCAAAACCACATGGCTGAGAATGGAAGGGGTGGCTTTCCAAATAAAATCAGAATTGTGTTATTCATAGATGGGAAATGGAACACTGGGCAATAGGAAACAGTTCTGAGAGGGGCTGGGGGAAGGAAAGGGCATGAAATATTGTTCCCTGGAGACCCTGCTTAGCAAGGGTCTTAATTAGAAGGTGAGAAGCGTCTATGATTGAAGATATAAAGCAGGTAATTTTAGTCTACAATCCCTTCTGGAGTGCCACTCACCCTCCACTAATCACTTCTCTACTTGAAAATACCACAGTTACCAAGAAGGCCACTAGTACTGCCTTTAGGAGTTCCACAGATTCAACAGCTCCTCTTCACCTGCCTCCCAAGCTATTAGACGATGGCCACGGCTTTTCTTAAGGTGGGGACAGTGACTGAGTTATGGCCATAAGAGAAAGAGTTTTCATGGGTCTTCTAGTAAGGTAAATGCAGCTAGCAGAATCATCCTTCTCTGGAACTATGATTGGACTTTACTATTTCCTCATTGACAATCACTGGGCCTAAGTACACAGACACATGAATGCATATAAAACTACCATTTGATGAGAATTTACTGCAAAGGAGGATGTGCCCATTGTCTTATGTACATTATATATGATTGTCTAATACAAGAAACCTATGAGATGAGTTCTATTTTCATTCCTATTTTATAGATAGGAAAGTGGAAGCTTAAAGAAAATAGGCCCTTTGTGCAAGCCTCGAAAGTATGTGGTGAAAATGGAATTTGAACTTAAAGGTTTCTGACACTAAAACTTAAGTTCTAAATCATTACATATTTATAAGGCCCCTAAATTTGATAAGCTGGAAATTCCTGTATTGTACCTAATTTATAAAGTGAGATATACTTGTTTTATGTTCTACAGATTGTGGATCAGCCACACAAAATGCCAAAGGAGGATTCTGTAATCTTTGTTTCCCAAGGGTTTAAGTTTTCAATATGCTCCATTTTCTACAGTAACAAGGGGAATTATGACATGAAAATACCTGAACCAGTGGTCATGAATGAAATTATTTGTATTTTTCTTTGGAGTACTTTATGTTATTTTCCCCTCCACATACTCTCATATGCATATATCACATTAACTATCCTAAAGATGTTTGGATTCATTAGTAACAAAATAAACTTATATTTACTGAATACAGATGAATTGATGGGTCAGTACCTACCTTAAAATGATGGACAGATAAACATTTATCATTAATAATGAATAATTCAAAGGTAAACCAGCATAGTCAGTTCATCAGGTTGTTATAAACTAGGGGCTAAGTCTCCCTGATTCTAATCAAAATCTAACTCTTTCTGGATGGGAAACTGGCGGCATTATTTAACCTCACTAAACATCAGTCTCCTCATCTGTATAATGACAATAATAGTAGTGCATTCTTTGTGGATGAAGTAACATATGTTAAGTGCTTGGTACTGTGTCTGGTCCATCGTAAGCAGCAAGGTAAATACTAGCTATCTATTGAAGATATTCAATAGCTCAGCTATTGAATCAGCTTTCTGTCTTTCTCCTTTCCTTTCACCCTCCCCATGTGTAAGTTCACCAAAAAGTAGCAATAATTCCATAATTCTTTAGTATTACTATAAGAAGACTGATACTAATCCTTGATTATGACCCTTCAAACTATGGTAATATTTTACTTGCTGGGGCAAGGCAATTCCCAAAGCAATAATTTCTATCTTATTTGAGCCTGTCAAACATACCCAATATATTCTTTTCTTGATCCTATTTAACAGTGTCTTGATAGCATTAAATCATTCTGATGTTATAAAGTTAAAGAGTTTATGACTTCCCTCTACCAAAATATCACCCCCTCCAAAAACAAAAAAAAGAACAAAATAAAAAACAATCATGGATTAGTGAATAGACTCATCAGCAAACTGTCTTTGTACATGGAAAACAAGCAAAGACATAGTCCAGAATATTTTGCCCCTCGGAAGACATCTGGCAAGGACTGGAGACATTTTGTGTTGTCACATCTGTGTGTCTAGGGGAGTACTACTGGCTTCGAGTGTGTAGGAGCCAGAGATACTGCTAAATGTCATACAATGCAAAAGACCACTCCCTATAATAAAAAATTATCAGGCCCTGGCAGGGCACAGTGGCTCACGCCTGTAATCCCAGACCTTTGGGAGGCTGAGGCGGGTGAATCACTGAGGTCAGGAGTTCAAGCCCAGCCTGACCAACAAGGCGAAAACCCATCTCTACTAAAAAAAAAAAAAAAATGCAAAAATTAGCTGAGCGTGGTAGCACATGCCTGTAATCCCAGCTATTTGGGAGTCTGAGGCAAGAGAATTGCTGGAACCCAGGAGGCGGAGGTTGCAGTGAGCCGAGATCATGCCATTGCCCTCTAGCCTGGGTGACAAGAACAAAACTCGCTCTCAAAAAAATAAAAAATAAAATGATCAGGCCCAGATGTCAGTAATGCCTATACTGAGTGACTCTAGTCTGGACATATTAACATTGAAGTTAGAGACATATTAACTTGGAGCGCATTTAAAAAACAAAAAACAAAAAAAACAAAAAAAAACAAAAAACAGATTGGTCGCTCCCCAGCCCAGCACAACCTCCAACTTGATCATATTTAGTTAGAAATATATTATTATAATAGCCAGAATTTTCTTTTTTTCTCCCTACCTTCTTCTCAAGGATATAAAATTAGGTCTGAACCAATTTAGTGGCCTGGAGAGAACCAGACTCAGACAATTTTGGAAGTGCCACCCTTTGACATGTTATTTTCTTTTTTTAAATGACGGCTTAATGGCCTTCAGTCACCTACAGGGAGGCTCTGCCATTCCTGTTTGTGGGGCTCCATGTCTGATAGCATCATGTGGTCACACAGCACAAAATCATGATTTACTAGGACCTTAACAATGCATGGTAAGGCCTTTGAAAACATTTTTTTACATGTCCACTGGGACCTGTTGTGTCAGTTCATAGGATTTTTACAAAACACATACAAAGAACAAATAAAATGACCCCAGTCCCAAAATGCTCTACAAGTGCTTATTGTTTGATATGGAATGAAGACAAAATCAAGCACATTCCGTTGTTCCAGAATATGAAACTGCTCCACAGAGTTTCACATTCATTGGGTTTCTGTTGCTATTTTGATTTTTCTAAAAGTGTGACATCCTGTATCTTAGTGGTGTGAAACTGAAACAAACCAATACAAGAGGTTCCAATTGTAAGAATATACAATTTTGAATTAGTCACACAGATGACAGAAGTGTAAAAATGTTTTTTGGCCCAACGTTACAAAATATTTGTAAAAAAAAAAAATACAAAGGACGTTAAATGAAAACATATTGCTACATCAGTTGAGGAATTTATTTATTTTCATTTAGTTAATTTTCTAATTTCTTTATTTACTTTTCATAGAATTCCCCAGGAAACATCTTTGGAACTATAAAATTGAATATATTAAAAGGTAGGTTTTTGTAGTTTATGTAGTCTATATCAACGCAAAGGACTTTTTTTTTCCATTGTAGTTTACTTTTTGCATAGCTGAGGCATGTACTTGCCTACATTTCGCCTGCCAATTTTTCTCTTGGGCTCACGGTAAGCAGAAGAGAACTTAGGAAAAAAGTACCTCCTTTAACAAGAAACCTCCTTTTCTTGTTACAAAGAAATAAACTTGTTGAGCTGGGCACAATGCCTTATGCCTGTAATCCCAGCGCTTTGGGAAGCCAAGGCAGGCAGATCACTTGAGGCCAGGAGTTCGAGACCAGCCCTGGCCAACATGGTGAAACCCTGTCTCTCCTAAAAATACAAAAATTAGCTGGGCATGGTGGCACACGCCTGTAGTCCCAGCTACTTGGAAGGCTGAGGCAGAGGTTACAGTGAGCTGAGATGAAGCCACTGCACTCTAGTCTGGACAGCAGAGTGGAGACACTGTCTCAAAAAAAAAAAAAAAAAGAAAGAAAGAAACTTTTCTTCTTCTTGTTTTAGATTTTCATTTGAAAGGCTTACATTTCGCAGCTTTTTCTTAGAACTGCAAAAGTTTTCCTCAAAATGTTTTGAAGTCTAAAATAAAAGGTGTCATTAGGGAACAGAATAGCTGGAAAATTTGAAAGGTTTTTTCTCCCCTTTTCCACTTTTAATTTGTAATGAATAAATATGTAACACAATCTGATTAATATATACACTTAAATGTACCTAAATTGCTAAGAGTTTTAAAATATAACTGGCACTTTTAACGAGAATTCTGAGCTGAAGGGCAACTGTAATGAAAAAATAATGATTGAAATATGTACTTTCCCTTATTTCAGGACAAAACTTATAAAACATATTTTTGTGTCAAAGGATTTTGGAGATAGGATATTCCAAAAGATTTTAGAGCTAAATTATTACAGAAACATAATAAATTAAAATTCTAATGTTAGTGATCATTACCCAGAAGCCATTTGTACTTAAAATATATGATTTAAAAGCTAACAGTAAGGTCTGGTCTTGCTCATGAAATAAGGATGGAGCATTGCCTAAAATGTGTCAAATACTTTACATGCTTTGTCATTTTTAAGTGAAATAGGTCTATTATCTAGCAAATCCATGCAATGGCAAATGTAGATTACCCTTTGAATTCTGATAAATTTAAAATAAATATATCCAAATGGTCTTGAATATATGATCATATTTTGGGTCAACTTGACCCTTGAATTAAGGTTGAAGAAACTACTAATTCTGAAGTTTATAAGATAGAGAAAAAGCTCAGAGATGCAAAGACATTTTTAAATAAATAAAAGATCAGACTTGTCCTACAGGTTTTCTTTTCTTCCTTTTTTTTTTTTTTTTTTTGAGACAGAGTCTCGCTCTGTCACCCAGGCTGGTGTGCAGTGGCGCAATCTTGGCTCACTGCAAGCTCCGCCTCCCAGGTTCAAGCAATTCTCCTGCCTCAGCCTGCTGGGTAGCTGGGATTACAGGCTTGTGCCACCGTGCCTGGCTGATTTTTGTATTTTTGGTAGAGATGAGGTTTCACCATGTTGATCAGGCTGGTCTTAAACTCCTGACCTTGTGATCTACCTGCCTCGGCCTCCCAAAACACTGAGATTACAGGCATGAGCCACCACACCCGGCTGTCCTATAGTTTCAACATATGCTGTGATGGTTGGCAACTCAGTTAATATTTATACAAGAATAGAAAAATTTATTAAGAAAATATAGTCAAGAAATAGGCCATTTATATATGAAAATTTAGTTAAAGATGGGATGCCATTTCAAATGGGAGGGGCATTTGAAAAGCAGATTGAAAATATCTATCAAAATTAAAAATATGTATATACTTGGATGAAGTGAATATGCTTTTGAGAAAAGTGTTTAAAGAGATACTGTCACAGGCTGGTTGTGGTGGCTCACGCCTGTAATCCCAGTACGTGCTTACGCCTGTAATCCCAGCACGTTGGGAGGCCAAGGTAGGTGGATCACGTAAGTCCAGTGTTTCGAGACCAACCTGGGCAACGTGGTGAAATCCTATCTCTACAACAAATATAAAAATTAGCCTGGTGCGGCGGCATGCACCTGTGGTCCCAGCTAGTCAGGAAGTTGACGTGAGAGAATTGCTTGGGCTGGGTGGTTGAGGCTGCAGTGAGCTGTGATGGCGCCACTGCACTTCAGCCAGGGCAAGAGAGTGAGACCCTGTCTTAAAAACAGAAAAACAAACACACAAAAACAAAGAAAGGAAGGAAGAAAGAAATACTATCACAAAAGCAAAAAAAAAAAAATGCATGCAAAATGATGCTCAATGTTTTATTGTTTGCAATAGCAAAATATTGAAAATAAACTACACAAAGGGAGATATTTTAAAATATCTATGGTAAATATAATAGAAGGCTATGAAGCCATTATAATGAATGATGTAGACATATACATATGAATATGGAAATTCTCCCAGAAAATATTGTTGATTGAATAAAAGCAAGTTATAAAACACATAAAGAATGATGTAATTCATATAAATAACCAGAAAGTAATATGATTGTAGAGTGAAGGCTGAGGCAGGGGTGGGAATGGAAACTGTCAATTGAAAAAAATATATGGATCTGTATCTCGTGAATGTCTAAAGAGATGTTCCCATGCTGTCTAATAGGTAGTCAGTAGCCACGTGGGAGTTATGGAGCTCAAAAAATATGGCTCATCTGTCTGCAGGTATATATTTTAAATTTTATTTAATAATTTTACTTAATTTTAATTTAAGTAGTCCTGTGTGGATACTGGTAACTGTATTGAGTAGTGCAGCTCTAGACCATCAGCCATATAACAGAGTAATACACTTCCACTTACTAATATTCATTTGTATTATATTTATAAATAAAACTTCTGCCACTGACCCTTATAAGCTGTGACTTTGGGGACTAACCTCTCAGAATGTTTAAAACTATGCTGTCCAGTGAGGAACACACTAGCCGTATGTAACTATTGAGCTGTATATTTTCAATATGTTGAGTTAAAATAAATATACTGATAAATTAATTGTAGCTGTTTCATTTTACTTTTTTAATGTTGGCTACTAGAAATTTAAAATTACTTATTTGGCTTGCATTATATTTCAGCTGGACAGTGCCATGTAACACAGTCAAGAAGCCTGGCTATGCTTTCAGTCCCGGCACTTCACATACTTCATTATTTGGGGGTAAATTACTTAACATCTTTGATCTTTGATTTCCTCATACAGATCCTGCCAGCTTGATAGGGTTTTAGTGCAATGTAATGGAAAATAATATAAATGAAATCATGTTGAAGACAATATAGAATAAGACTATCCAATACATTTATTCAGAAAATTATCTCAATAAGAAATACATGCTTCCCAGTTGTTAAGTCACAGTTGAAGTTAACTCAAATTTTCAATGGTGGCTTACTTCCTCTGGAAGTTTAATGTAGGATCTCAACATTATAGATGTCTGTCTAGCTAACTCAAAAAGGTAATCCAAGAATCCAAGATCTGCAAATGCACATTTTTTTTCCCAAAATTCTGGTTGTCATTATCTTAGTCTAGTTCAGATTAAGGCAGTTATAGTAGAAGCCAAATCTAAGAGAAGATTTTTATCTTAAAATTACCCTCCGAGGTCAAAAATCAAAGCCTCAGGGAAGATATATAACCAGAAATATAAATGGAAAGAATTTAGAAGGTAGGCAGTATATGTTGTTCAAGTTTTTCATGACTCGAAATTTGTCATCCCCATCTATCCACTTGTTTGGTAACCATTTGAAAGCTAGCTTCTATTGCCACCACTCTGCTAAAATGCTTTACAAAGCTTACAAGATACCTTTTTCCATGTTAAATCCAATGATGACTTTCCTGTCCTTATTTTCCTATATTTACCTGCGACATTCAACTATTGACTCTCCTACTTCAGGAAAACAGCAGAACTCCTGGGAATTTGTTAGAAATGCACATTGCCTAGCACCAGTCCAAACCTATGCAAAAAAACTCTGAGATGTGATTTAACAATATCTGTTTTAACAAACCCCCTAGGAGATTCTGATGCACACTCACATTTGAGAACTAATGAACTGAATGATTATACAAGGTTTCTTGGGATTCCAAGTTCTATCATTGTCAATACATTTTATTATTCTAATCTAACATGTGGTGGGGGGGTTTTCTTGGGAGTGTTCAACTTAACTTCTGAATGAGATAAATCCCCAGATCCTGAGACACTCTTTGATTGGAGAGTATCACTCAAATTCCTATGGAAACATCACAGTGGGGATGGAGCAGGTTATGCAAATGACAAAGAAACAGAGGAGTAGAGATCATTTGATTTAGTTGCTCCATAGCCTGAAGGAAAAAGCGTATATCATTCTTTATATTTCTCTCAAATTTTGTCACTAGAAACAATAGTTTCTATTGGGACATATTTCTCTCAAATTATGTCACTAGAAACAATAGAAAAAATTGTACTTCTGAAATATTATAGTTTATCCAAGCTTTATGTTTTTATTCAAAACTGAAATGAGCCCTCAAAGAACTAAAAACAGAACTACCATTTGATCCAGCAATTCCATTACTGGGTATACACCCAAAGAAACATAAATCATTCTACCAAAAAGACGCATTCCTATGTTTATCACAGCACTGTTCTCAATAGCAAAGACATGGAATCAAACCAGGCGCTTATCAGTGGTGGATTGGATAAAGAAAATGTGGTTCTTACACCCCATGGAATACTATGCAATCATAAAAAAGAACAAAACTATGTCCTTTGCAGCAACATGGATGCAGCTGAAGGTCATTATCTTAAGCAAATTAACATAGGAACAGAAAACCAAATACCACACGTTCTCACTTACAAGTGGAAACTAAACGTTGGGTACTCATGGACATAAAGATGGCAACAATAGACACTGGAGACCACCAGAGGGAGGAGGAGGAAAGGGAAAAGAGGGGCAGGGGTTGAAAAACTAACTGCTGGGTACTATGCTCACTCCTGAGTGATGGGATCACTTGCACCCATACCTCAGCATCATGCAATATACCCATGTAACAAACCTGCACATGTACCCCTGAATTTAAAAATAAAAGTTAAAATTTTTAAAAAAAGAAAACTAAAATGAGCAATAGGCCAAAGAGAGGACTGCATGATTCCAGTAGTTTTTGTCACGGAGCTTTAAGGCAACTAAAGCTGTGAGTTAGGTAGAGCAATTGAACATCTTTAGTGGGCAAATTAGAAAGGAAAAAAGGTAGAGGAAAGAAGATGGCCATTTTTTTTTTTAATCCAAACATATTTTCCATCCTTACAGAGGTAATCCATGGGCAAAGGAAGAATTATCCCCTTCTAAAACCCTCAAATGCTGGCTCATAGTATATAACTTTGAATGTATACATGGGTGTGGGGTTAAAAAAAAAAACAGACAAAGCATTGTATCTTTGGGTGGCTAACACAACCCAGCCCCAGTGGCTTGTGCTTATGAGGCATATTTCTTAGGAGGCTGGCTGAGCTTCATCCATGACTATACAGGAGGCCAGGTGCTAAAACCTAGATAGGTACAGTATTGGATCTAAAGGCAAGTGGAGGTTGGGCGCAGTGACTCATGTCTGTAATCCTAGCACTTTGGGAGGCCAAGGTGGGTGGATTGCCTGAGGTCAGGGGTTCGAGCCCAGCCTGGCCAACATGGTGAAACCCCGTCTCTACTAAAAATACAAAAATTAGCCGGGCATTGTGGTGCATGCCTGTAGTCACAGCCACTTGGGAGACTGAGGCAGGAGAATCGCTGGAACCCAGGAGGCAGAGGTTGCAGTGAGCCGAGATCATGCCACTGCACTCCAGCCTGGGCCGGACACCTGAGGGAGAATGCATCTCAAAAAAATAAACTAAAATAAAATTAAATTAAAATGGCAAGTGGAGAGCAGTAGTCCACGGGCCAGATGCTGAATAGTAATTTGCCTATTTTACCACATCACCTTCTAGGAAATTGTAATACATCCTGGAGATAAAATACAAGTAGGCTATTGGGCAGGCTTTATTCCTGTGATGAACTAAGTGTTTTAGCAGTCACAGAATTGACAATACATACTACGGGATGAGCCAGGAAACCCCAGGTGCGACCATCAAAATTATAAACACCTTCATCTGTAGGCAGTTTTGGAACATTACCCTCTCTGCCTCATGTAAGCAGTGGGCTCTTATAAAAATATTTCTTGCCAGTCATGTAATAATAATAATACTGTCATATAACATGTTTTCTAGCCACTGTTGAGAGCATTTCACGTATTTTCTAGTGCAAATGAGAAAATTATGACCTCTTGAGGTATGTACTGCTATTATTCTCATCCTCATTCTATAGGGGAAACCTGAGGTAATTAATATGTCTAATAATGACCTCCTGAGGTATGTACTGCTATTATGCTCATCCTCATTCTATAGGGGAAACCTGAGGTAATTAATATGTCTAATGATGACCTCCTGAGGTATTTACTGCTATTATCCTCATCCTCATTCTACAGGAGAAACCCAGGTAATTATTGTGTCAGCAGTGGTGCTGAAAAATATGCTGGTCTTTAAACCAGGTTTATCTGGCTCTAGAGCTCACACATGTCGTCACTAAGTCAGTGGATCTTAAACATGAACATACGGAAGAAATATCTAGAAGGTTTGGTAAAACACATTGCAAAGCCCCACTCTCAGAATGGCTGGTCCAGAAGGTCTGGGATGGGGCCTAAGAATTTGCATTTTCAACAAGTACCCACTTGCTGCTGATGCTGCCGATGGGCAGTCATACTTCCAGAACCACTGCATTAAGTTAACCTTGTGCCACATGGGCTACATTATATCTGGCTTCTTCACTAATGATACTATAGTAAGACAAAATTTCCTTATCAATTGGATTAGCAGTTAAAGATATCCCTCAGTGCGTTACAGCAGAGTTTCTCAAACTTTAACATACAGATCATCTGGGGATCTTGCTAAGATGCAGTTTTTGCTTCAGTAGGTCTGAAGTAAGACCCTAGATTCTGCATCTAAGGACCTCCCAGGTAATGCCCACGCTGTGATACCAAGGCTTTACATCGGTGGTTCTCAGACTGGTCCCAGAACAACAGCATCAGCATCACCTGGGCACTTGTTATAAAAAAAAAAAATCAGACTCCATGCCAGACCTGCTGAATCAGAAACTCAAAAGGCAGGGTCCAAACATTTGTGTTTTAATATGCTCACCAAATAATTCTGATGCAGGCTAAAATTTGAAAACCACCTACCTTATACCACTGCTTCTCAAACTTGGCTGCACACTGATTCATCTGGGAAGTTCTTAAAAATGCTGATGCCTGAGTCCCATCTCCGGAGATTCTGGTTTAATTGGTTTCAGGTGCTGCATGACCATCAGGATTTTAAAGCTTTTGGTAATTAACGTATAGCAGTATAAGAACAACTACCTTATAGTGTAGTGTAAAGCCTTGCTACTCAAATTATAATCTCTGCACTAAAAGTATTGGAACATGGAAGAACTTGTTAGAAATGAGGAGGTCATTATGTTCAGGGAAATACGACGGGCATTGAAAGAAAAATGTAAGGCCAGGCGTGGTGGCTCATGCCTGTAATCCCAGCACTTTGGGAGGCGGAGGCAGGGAGATCACTTGAGGCCACGAGTTCCAGACCAGCCTGGTCAACATGGTGAAACCCCTTCTCTACTAAAAATACAAAAATTAGCCAGATGTGGTGGCATGCACCTGTAATCCCAGCTACTAGGAAGCTGAAGCAGGAGAATAGCTTGAACCTGGGTGGTGGAGGTTGCAGTGAGCCAAGATAGTGCCACTGCACTCCAGCCTGGGGCACAGAGCAAGACTCTGCCTTAAAACAAAACAAACAAAAAAGAAAAACATTGCATGTTCTCATTCATACTTGGGAACGAAAATAACAGATCTCATGGAGGTAAAGAGTAGAATAGTGATTGGTAGAGGCTGGGAAGGGAGGTGGGGATGAACAGAAGTTGCTTAACGTGCACAAAAATACAGTTAGATAGAAGAAATAAGCTCTAGTATTCAATAGGACAGTAGGGAAATTATAGTTAATAATTTATTATATATTTCAAAATAAGTAGAAAAGAATTGGAACGTTTCCAATACAAAGAAAAGATAAATGTTTGAGGTGATGTGTATTCCCTTGATTTGATCATTATACATTGCATATTACACATCAGTGGTCCTCAACCCCCGGGCCATGGACCAGTATGGTCTGTGGCCTGATAGGAATCCCACAGCACAGCAGGAGGTGAGTGGTGGGTGAGCCAGCATTACCACCTGAGCTCCGACTCCTGTCAGATCAGCGGCATTAGATTCTCATAGGAGCACAAACCCTATTGTGAACTGTGCATGTGAGGGATCTGGGTTGTGTGCATCTTATGAGAATCTAATGCCTGATGATCTGAGGTGGAACAATTTCATGGCAAAACCAACCCCCTCCCATAAAACAATTGTCTTCCACAAAACTGGTCCCTGGCACCAAAAAGGTAGGGGATGGCTGGTATACATGTATCAAAATATCACATGTACCCCCAAAATATGTACAACTTTTATATATCAATTTTTAAATTTTTTAAAGGAAATGAGAATCTCAAACCACATCCCAGACATACTGCATAAGAATGTTCGTTATCACATGATCCTTAGGCGTATTAAAATTTGAGAAGCGCTGGTCTAAACAAACACTGGAATAGCAGCATTATCTAATAGAATTTTCTGAGATGATGAAAATGTTCTATATCTGTGATATCCAATATGGTAATAACTAGTCATATGCGGCTGTTAAGCACTTCAAATGTGGCTAGTGCAACTAAGGAACTAATTTTTTTTAATTTTAAGTAATTTAAATAGCCACATATGGCAAGTAGCCACCCTATTGGACACTATTACACCCTATTAGCTATTGAGAAAGAACTATTATACCCTATTAGCTATAGACAAAGAACAACGATTTCAATGCATAATTAGTGTTGCCAACATTACAGCATTTGGCGTCACCTCACTTGTGTAATAGAAAGCCAGGACTTGACAGCAGGTAATATTGTATGGTAGAAGAATTTTGTATCTGCAATTTTTTTTCTGGATACTTGGTAGCTAGATGTTCCAGAATCCCTAAAACTCTATTAACTTTGTTTTCCATTCTCTTCATAATTTATCTATCTACATCTTATTTAAGAAAGCTATGGATTCTTTATTAGTGGGAAATGACTAAATCCAGGATTTAGAACAGAAAGGAACAAACTGAATAGAGGTAATATGGGGCAAGACTGAAAGGAAGCCAGTTCCGAAAAAAATCAGTGGAGAGGGAGATATATGGGAATAAATAAGACTCAGGAGATGCCTTTCTTCACATCCACTTCTAGGTCTAACTGGTGCCGTAATACAATCACATGAATTAAGAGCTCAGGATGCTGGAAACAAATTGTCCATAAGATCCTATGGTTTCAGGGGCTTTTGCAGTCAAAGAAAGGTTGATGACTTAATAACAGTGTTGTCCCTCAAATCTGTATTAGTCAGGGTTTTCTGGAGGGGCAGAACTAATAGGATAGATGTATATATGAAGGGGAGTTTATTAAGGAGTATTGGCTCACACGATCACAAGGTGAAGTCCCACAATATGCTGTCTGCAAGCTGAGATGCAAGGAAGCCAGTCTGAGTTCCAAAACCTCAAAAATAGCGAAGCAGACAGTGCAGCCTTCAGTCTGTGGCTGAAGGCCTGAGAGCCTCTGGCAAATCACTGGTTAAGTCCAAGAGCCCCTAAAACTGAAGAACTTGCAGTCTGATATTTGAAAGCAGGAAGCATCCAGAACAGAAAAAGATGAAGACCAGAAGACTCAGCAAGTCTGCTCTTCCATCTTCTCTTGCCTACTTTATTCTAGCTGCAGTGGCAGCTGATTAGATGGTGCCCACCCAGATTGAAGGTGGGTCTGCCTCTCCCAGTCTACTGACTCAAATGTTAATCTCTTTTTGCAACACCCTCACAAACACACCCAGGAACAATACTTTGCATCCTTCAATCCAATCAAGTTGACACTCAGTATTAACCATTACACCGTCTTTCATCTTACAGTAATAGAATATTTTTAATACTCAAATATCCAGTTGCTTACTACAAAACAATAAATCATGGCCTGTTAGAAAAAGCTAAGTAAATAGTGTTGAAATGCTGATCTTTTACATGTTTTTGAACTTAAAAATTCTATAACTTGGCAATAATTCTTTTAAAGCATTGGCCAGTAATTTGGCAAATATGTACATTTTTTGACCCATATTATGTGGGCAGAAAATAGCTTTAAAAAAAAACTGATGAACAGGAATCCCCGCTAGTCTCTGACAATCTCTAAAGTCTGGCTATTTTGCTGTATTTGCAGTCAAATTAAAGTAGAAATACAGAAAACATTATAACAGGAACGTTTATTTCATTTGTCATGGGCGTGCTTTTCTCCTTGACACTCCCAGGAAAGCAGTATTCTCTGATCTAAAACAACAAAGTTTTTTTGTAGGACATAAATAGTCTTTTCCACAGTATGGCATAAGTCAAGAACAAGTGTCTTAACTGTAGAGTGTGCACAGCCTTCCGTAGTGAGGCTGGCAACACATGGGCGAGAAACTCAAAACAGAGTGATAGAACGAAAGAGTCAGGTTGGACTTGAACAGAGAGCAGCATTGAATTAGGAAACAAGTATACATGGCAGAGGAAAAAGTGCACAAATTGGGACCAGAAAATATAAAGGGGAGTTGTGTAGATTTTTTTTTGTTTTTGTTTTTGTTTGAGACAGAATCTAGCTCTGTCACCCAGGCTGGAGTGCAGTGGCATGATCTCGGTTCACTGCAACCTCCTCCTCCTGGGTTCAACAGATTCTCCTGCCTCAGCCTCCTGAGTAGCTGGGATTACAGACGTGCACCACCACGCCTGGCTAATTTTTTGTATTTTTAGTAGAGATGGGGTTTCACCATGTTGGCCAGGCTGGTCTGGAACTCCTGGCCTCAAGTGATCTGCCCGCCTCGGCCTCTCAAAGTGCTGGGATTACAGGCATGAGCCACCATGCCCAGCCTCAGAATTTTTTAAGTACACTGATAGATTGATCTGGATTCAAGATTCAATTCTTTCACATCCTTATTAACTGATCTTAGATGAGTTCCTGAGCCTGTAAAGGTCAGTTTCGTTATATGCCAAATGTGGGAAATAGTAGGACCTTCTTCACCAAGCTATTGTTAAGGATTAAGTGAGATTGAGCACTTATATTGAGAAAGTACTCAAAAAAGGTGAGCTATTATTCACAAGAGACAGGAAGTAGTGTAGACTGCACGGAAGGCACCTAAACTGAAGGACGACTTCAGTATGAAGGGCAATGAAAGAGAAGGGATAAGGACATATACAGGAAAGTTTGTTTTTGTTTTTTGGGGGTTTCTTGTGTGTGTATATGAAACCACCTTTGCAAAATGATGACTAAGACAGTGAAAGAGATCTAACTTAACTGACTCCATCTTGCTTCTAACCTATAACCCCTAAGCTGTACCTGTTCATTCCTACATGGGTGAACTAGCTTTGGGAGAAACTTAGTTTATAGTTTATAGTTTAAACAAAGATGGTAACAGCCCTTTCCCAAAGCAGACCTCCTTCTTGCCTGAGGACTAGATTGCCTTTGTAGGACTAACATTAACCTTAGAAATTATGGTTTAGGAGTCATGCAGCTGGAGGCTACAAGATTCTGACCCTTCTAAACTGCTCCTAAGATCAGTGCTGGAGATATTTTGCAGACCCTGTACTTAAGAGATCAGCTGGCACCACCCAGATCAACAAACTGGCTCATCTGATCTTGTGGTCCCCACCCAGGAACTGACTGAGGGCAAGAAGACAGCTCCGACTCCCTATGATTTCATCTCTGACCCATCAGCACTCCTGGCTCACTGGCTTCCCCCAACCTACCAAGTAATCCTTAAAAACTCTGCTCCACGAATGCTGGGAGAGACTGATTTGAGTGATAATAAAACTCCGGTCTCCCATATAGCTGGCTCTGCGTGAATTACTTTTTCTCTATTGTAATTCCCCTGTCTTGATCAATAGGCTCTGTCTAGGCAACAGGCAAGGTGAATCCCTTGGGCAGTTTATTTGTTTTATTTTTTCAGTATTCAGACATTAGGTAAATTGTGGAAAGAGTTCTAGACCAGGACAATAAATAAAAGTTTAGATGGCACAAAATAACTTAGAAACACCATGAGGTTTCGGGGGGTGTTTGGAAAACTTGAAAATGTATGGAAAATTTTAATAGGATTTGTATATAAGCATTTGGCCACCATAGCTTTGGTTGGATTCTCAAATTGGTCATAAATTATTTGAAAACATTAAAACCCACTGTTATAAAGTGTTGTAACCTACTTCAGAGTGTCCCTGACTCATTCTAGCAAAATTTACTAGCAATAACACTAAAAAACGTCTTCCTGATCTGTTCTTCTTCAGGCTATGCCAGGTCAATCAAGAGCCCAGTTGGGAGCCCATAGATGGATCATACAGATCTGTTTCATCATTTCTACACATAAACACAGCGGGGTGCAACTGTAGTGACACTGTACCCAGATCACTGTTGGCAGGTAAATCAGGACATTTACCATTTCAAGTGGCTAAAACTCCATCAAAACTGGGTTAATCCAAAATATTTAATTGGCTCATATCATTGAAAATCTAGGTGTCTGGCCGGGCGCAGTGGCTCATGCCTGTAATCCCAGCACTTTGGGAGGCTGAGGCGGGCGGATCATCAGGTCAAGAGATCAAGACCATACTGGCCAACATGGTGAAACCCCATCTCTACTAAAACTAGAAGAATTAGCCAGGTGTGGTGGTGCACGCTGTAGTCTCAGCTACTTGGGAGGCTGAGGCAGGAGAATTGCTTGAATCCGGGAGGCAGAGGTTGCAGTGAGCCAAGACTGAGCCACTGTACTCCAGCCTGGGCGACCAAGTGAGATTCCGTCTCAGAAAAAAGAAAAGAAAAAAGAAAATCTAGGTGTCAGGCTAACTTTAGACATCCAAGGGCTCAAAGGACGACCAGACATATTGTGACTTGAGGGATATTCAAGCTTCATTTCACTTGTTTTATTTCAGCTGCGTTTTCTTCTGTTTGGAATTCTTTCTTAGGTTTCAGCAGCTCCACACTTACATGCTCAGAGTTCTAAGTCTAGCAGAATTAAAGAATGTCTCTTTCCCCAGAAGAATGTCTTTTTTTTTTTTTTTAATCACAGAAAACATTTCCACTAGAAAGCAAGCCCCGTGAGTACAGGGGCTTTTTCTGTGTGTTCTTACTGCTATATCCCCAGAAGTTATGGTATCTTGCTCAATGTTGATTGAATGTATGACTAAGCTCAGGTTGAGTTAGTTAGGTCAGCTTTCTTCCCTGAACCAGTCACTGAGGCCAGGGGCACGAAAATACTGAGTCACGTGACAAGCCCGATTAGACCACCCCAAAGTCTCACAGACTGATAGCACAGACTGGTGTGCTAGTTTCAGAATAAGGAGATATGGATGCTAGAAGGCCAGAGAAGAACAGAGATTCTTCTGCACAAGTTTTACATTTCTCAGGATCATACCAGATGATCAGAATCATTCCTTACAATTATTTTCTGAATTACAAAAATGCAAACACTTCTAAGATAAAATGAAAGAACATTAATGGATAGAAAATTAAGACTTTATCCTGATACAATTACATAGGGGATTTAGATTGACAAAATGTAATTATCTAAGTAGTAAATTGGCAGGATGCCTGATTGTTGGAGATCTTATCATGAGGATACTTATTTGTTGCTGATTTAGAAAAAGGGAGCTTACCTGTAACATGAGTCCTCCACTTATACGATGGTCTTCCATTTATCAGAACTGAAGTAGCTAGAAAGTGGGAATCACCAGAATGAACTCTGCACAGAGTATAAGGAGTCATCGTCATAAATACACATCTGAATCTTCAAAAAATACACATCTGAGTCTATTCCTGAATCAGCTGACGACAGATTACCTTATATTCCAATTTTCTTCAAATTGTTTGGCCAGTGAATTCTATAAAGATAGAAACAAATTCAATCAAACACTTTTTCATCAACTCCTCTGTTCACTGTGCATCATTTTATTTAATATCACATTTTAGAGAAGCATTTCATTATCTATAATTTATAGACATAATTTATGTATTTATACATATCTATGCATTTTATACATATATTTATACAATAAGAAATAAGTAAAAGTATAATTTATTATTTGTATTTCTTATATTTTATCATTTTATGTCCTCTATTATTCTATGTAGATTATAACCATTTGAAGTTTAGGACCAGTCACTAAATTATGCCTCCATAGCACTTCAATATTATACAAAGATCACATTACATACTTAACACATTCTAAATTGAACAGATAAAATGAGAGTCCTCATATTTTTACCACTAAAAGCTGTTTTATAATACTTTACTATGAACAAATGTTTGAGAGATGTGGTCTCAAGCCAAATGAACTATTATATAATTTATTTTCCCATTTTTAATTAATCAAAGATATTAATATTTGATGAAACATTTTTTTGCACCACCCCAAACTCATACCTTTACCAGTCCCCTACCCCCATACCAATCAGTGAGAGAAGAAAAGACTTCGTCTTTGTCTGGGTGTACAATTTCTTTCAGGTTTTTGAAATACCAAGTGACCAACCTCTTGACCACCATTGGGAACCTATGATTGGAGACTGCTGATAGAATAGGGGCTTCTCCTAGAAAAGGAAGGCATATCTCCTGAATCACACTAATAGCTGGTCTAGTGTTTTTTTGTCAAATGTACTTTTTGGTGCTGATCTAAGGCTATGAAGTGCAAGAAGCATTCATTTAACATGTATTTTTGAGTGTTTATGAGGTACTAGGTTCTGCTCTTGACCTTAGAGAACCAGAAACAAAACATAAATAATCCTTGATCTTGTGATGCCTACATTCAAGTGGGAGAAACAGAAAACAAATGTGATCAATCAATAAAAATATATGTTAGATGGTGATAAGATGTAATTTTAAACATATTGTCTATTTTTTTATCTGAAAAAATAGTTTGTATTTACACAGGGAATGTTAACTAGGCCAATATTTAAACAAAATAGTACATTTAAAACAAACATTTATTCTAGCCTGTAAAATGTAGTGTTAGTCAATTGTCCAAGGGAAGGCTACACTGAAACTATTACATTTGGGTAAAGACTAAAAAATGTGAGAAAATTAGATTTGAGGAAGAACAGCCAGGACAAAGGCAGAAGGTCCCACACACATTTAAGGACCAAGCAAGAGGGCTAATGCTCTCCACTGGGTTGCTCAGGTTTCAAGCTAAAGTTTAAGACGATTCTTTTTTTTCTTTTCTTTTCTTTTTTTTGAGACGGAGTTTCACTTTAATTGCCCAGGCTGGAGTGCAATGGCGTGATCTCAGCTCATCGCAACCTCTGCTTCCCAGATTCAAGTGATTCTCCTGCCTCAGCCTCCCGAGTAGCTGGGACTACAGGTATGCGCCACCACACTGGCTAATTTTGTATTTTTAATAGAGACAGGGTTTCTCCATGTTAGTCAGGCTGGTCTCGAACTCCTGACCTCAGGTGATCTGCCCACCTTGGCTTCCCAAAGTGCTGGGATTACAGGCATGAGCCACCACGCCTGACCAAGATGACTCTTAAAATCACATTTTGTGACTTTTTCCCCTGCCATATAACTGCCCAATGGGTTCATCTTGCCCACTGTCCAAATAGAGTCCATTTATCAAGACAGGGGGATTATAATGGAGAAGGAGTTTAATACATATAGAGCCAGCTAAATGGAAGATGGAGTTTTATTATTACTCAAATTAGCCTTCCCCAAAATTTAGAGGCTACAATATTTTAAAGATAGTTTGGCAGGCAGTGGGCTAGGGAATGGTTGCTGCTAATTCGTTGGAGATACAATCCAAGGAATGTGGAAAATGGTCCTTGTGCACTAAGTCCACTTCTGCGTGGGAGCCACAGGGCCGGTTGTCATGAGTCACGGATCTGGGTGACCCAGAGTCAACCCATTATCAGAAATGAAAAAGTCTGAAAAGATATCTCAAAAGGCCAAGCTGAGGTTCTACAACAGTGATGTCATTTACAGGAGTAATTGAGGAAGTTACACATCTTGTGGCCTCCAGAACAATGGCTGGTGACTGTTTACACCTATTTTTTAACAGAATTCAGGTCTTTTATTAGTTTTATAAAAGTGGCTTAATTTTGGGAAGGGCTATTATCATTTGAACCATAAATCACTCCCAAAGTTATCTTGGCCCACTCCCAGGAATGACCAAAGGCAGTTTGGAGGTTAAAGGCAAGATGAAATTGGTTAGCTCACTCTTTCACTGTCATAATTTTGCAAAGGCAGCTTCAACCAGTCATCGCTGAGTTCTACATTGGTCATGGATGCCAATTAAAATCCAGGACAGTGGAAAACCAGTAAAAATCTTTGCAGAGCCTCTGGGTTATTTAGATCACAACTGCAAAAAGAATCTTGAAACCTCAATATTAACATAATGCAAAAGAAAAAATAGACAATTCTTTTTGAGAAAGGGATTATGGAATAATATTGCCTTCAATTCTTATGAATTATAACTACAAAGCAGCATGACTTTTAATAATTTACATCAGCTATAAAATTATTTAATTTAACCAGAGAGCATGAGATAAATCTTGCAAAAAAAAAAAAAAACTGGTTTAAATGGTATTGGTAAATGTATATCTATAAGAATGTTGATTTGTAAATTGCAATATCAAGAAAAAACAATTTCTTTATGAAAATAAAATAAGCAAGGAAAAGGTATGGTCACCAAAACATCATGTAAAATGCAAATATACAAACATAGAGATAGACGGCTAAACAGACTTTCGATATACATATATTCATTATATAATATATATTTCATCTGCTTGTGAAATAGGAAAAATAGTCCTTTCTTTTTAGTATATTAGTATGGTTTGTTTACCTGTTGTTTATCTTATTTTTAGGAATTTGCAAAATAAAGATGGGTGGAGATACGTAAACTATTTAACAGACAAAAAACCTGACTCCGAAGAGATAAAATGTGGTATATAATGGGATAGAATCATAAAGCTGAGATAGCAGGCAGCCCTCAGGATTCCCTAACAAAACAGGCCCTAGAGTATAAAATTCTGGTGACAGAGCTCAAAAATAGTTGGCCTTTACAGGAAGGCATAAATGAAAGGAATATTTCAAGGGAGGGAAGGCCTCTAAATTGGAAACATTCAAAGGTAATTCAGCCAATGTTATCCTTTTTGTTTTTTTTTTTTTTTAACCAAGACTATTCTGGTCAAATTTCATAGTGCATTTATATAGACATTTGAAAAATCATTGGAAGTCTCTATTCATAAAAAAGCTCACAAATTTTACCATTTTAATATCAATGCCTTTATTGTGAAATGGCCCCACCCTCTAACAAACAACCTTTTATTACAAATATGTTCTTCATTCAAGCAACAGGCAAGACCCTTACAGACATGCCCTTTGGGTTTGGAAAGAGAAGAAACCAACAGATAGAGGAAAAACAATGAATAGACAATATCATTTTATCATAAGACAAAGCCCAAAGGTAATTTAAATATTTAAACAAATATGCAGGCATTCCCCACTTTTAGAAGCCAAGTATATTTTGGCAGAAGGGAATTTCCATATTGTTTAAAACATGTGACAGTTGTTATAATTCTCTTTTAATTAAGATTGCTAATGAACAATTTTTTTTCTTTTTTTTCTTCATTGGCATTATTCATACCCAAATAACCAGACATCTCTCATAGGTAAACAGATATATTTGTAATTGTTTTATAATTTTAATTTAATTTTTTATTTCTTAAGTTCAGATAAAACCTCATGAAGAAAAACTAGGTGAAATGCTAAATTTCAAACTCGGAATGTCCCTATTTCCACGTTATTGTCGTTTGAAAAGTCACATTTTCTTGAGAGGGATGGAAAGAATACTAAGTTAATGTTACTTTCTGAATATTCCCAGAAAAGAGACAAAGAAACAGAAGGGAGGAAAATGCAGATATTACTTGGTTAATGTAAGTATATTACAGGGAAAAGAATGTGCCTCAGTGGAAAACTACGTGTTTTTATGAGAGCTATTTTAGAACCTGTAAGTTGTAGAAAATATTCACATTAGTGAACAAATTTTATTTTTAACTTTTGTGAAATTTTCACATGTATTTACTTAATACTACTCATATTTTCAAGACCAAAATGCACTATTTCTACCTAGTCATCCAAACTCCAAAACTACCTGGACTAAACCTAAGATGCCACTAAAGGAAAAGGCTAAGTGATAATTGCTTGAGCCCAGGAATAATGCAATTCAGATTGAAAGAGATAGTGATACAGTCACTCAACTGTACTAACAATTTTTATCAGTCTAAGAAACGACATCATCTACCAAAACTCCTTTTGTATGGAAAAAGTTGGGTAATGTGGAAAGGGGCTCTATATTCAGTTCCACAAGAGTGGGCTCCTTATTTTTATTTTATTTGAAGTGAATTTACAGAGTGTTATGCCCACTCACACACAAATCCAAGTAGCAAAATATCTGAGAAATTCTCCCACCATTAATCTAAAATTATTATCCTACAGATTCTCTGAAAGCTATTTTTTAAACTTATTCATCTAGTAAACTGAATGTCAGACACAAACCCTTGCCAAAAAAATATAGTGACTGCTAACAGGTATAGTCAATGCTCAGCAAAGGTAAAGATAAAGACCATTTTGGAGTATGCTAAAGTACACTCTACCTAGGCTTGTCTGAGCACAGAACCTCACTTGAAGTACAAAATATTATAACATGAAGGGAAAATGGATTGCCTGTAGAAAATATGACTGTGAAGAGGGCTTTTGTTAACTCACTAAAAACAAGCATGGAATCAAAATGCATTAAGTATTATACAATTTGTGTAGCAAAATCAAATCATATGAAAACATGGGAGCAAAACATGTATTACACATAAGTCAAAATGTGGAATTCTTAGGGACCAGAACTAATTATGAATCAGACTTACTTGCTAATATTTTAATTTCCTGAAACGAGTATCACCATCCAATTTTTGCCATCACTGTATTAGATACTATGGAGGATTCAATCTTAAAATATTATTACACATTAGCTCATGAATTTCCTATAAGTTGTATGGCACATAAAAGTTCGTGATGTGGGCTGGTCATGGTGGTTCACGTCTGTAATCCCAACACTTTGGGAGGCCGAGGCAGGTGAATCACCTGAGGTCAGGAGTTCGAGACCAGCCTGGCCAATATGGTGAAACCTGTCTCTACTAAAAATACAAAAATTAGCCAGGTGTGGTGGTGTGCACCTGTAGTCCCAGCTACTCGGGAGGCTGAGACAGGAGAATTGCTTGAACCTAGGAGGCAGAGGCTGCAGTGAGCCGAGATATGGCCACTGCACTCCAGTCTGGGTGAGAGAGTGAGACCCAGTCTCAAAAAAAGAAATTAGTGATGTGCCAAGTAGTTAAGTTTTTGTGTACTATAATATGAGAATATAAAGCAGAAATTGCAAACCAAGCATTAAAAGACCAGGCAGGGGGGAAGTAGATTAACAATCATAATAAATACATATAATTTTATCTCTCAATTTTAAAAACAATAAAAAGAAATCTAAGCAAGAGAAAAAAAGCAGATTGGGTATGACGCTATATGTAGTGATGGAGTCGGTAGTTAAACAAAGACTCCACAACCTAAAGGGGATCAGAAGCTATTGATTTCAGCTAGTTTTTGCCATGTAGGGATGTAGAACTAGTGTTGTTTGACTAGATTTTTCAAAAGAAGTTTGCATCCCAAGTTTTATGTAAAATCTCCAAATTTTAATAACTGATTAGAAAAGCGATTTTGAACCTGTATAGGTGAACTCTGTCCAGATTTGGCCACGAGGCTACTAGTTTATAATCTCCGAGTAAGAAATCAGAGAGAGTCCAAACAAAGCACAAAAAAATAGTATGGTGGATAGATGGAGGAATTGAGTGAATTGAGAAATTCAGGGTCAGTATGACACTAACTTTTATTATATATAGGATCAAATTTTCAGAACTCAGAATCCTTTTCTGTATTGTTTCTCACTGTTTTTCCAGCAACTAGCCAGAGTGTCTGGAATTGATGCTTTATATATATTTAATTAACTAGTTAATCAATTAATTGGTAGTTTGGGTTAAATAATTTCTTCTTGCTCTTACAGACCTCAAAATAATTTGAGTGTTATAAAATGCCTTCTATGAGGAAATATTATAGAAATTAGTATTCATTTAAAATAAAGGAGGAAAGTCAAAGGGTGATTTGGATCATTAAATATTTTCTAAAAGATGATAGCAGGAGATGAGCTCATTTATATGTGTGTGTGTGTGTATGTGTGTGTGTGAGAGAGAGAGAGAGAGAGCGTCAAAATAGAGGAATGGAGCTTACATTGCGATTAGAATATTTGATTAGTAAGATAAAAGATTTTCTGGCTCGTAAGAGTAAGTCTGCTAACAAGACTGTTAAAGTTGGTGACCTTTAAAATAATATCAACAAACACCTTTTTTTTTTTTGGCATTTAGGCAGTGACCAAACCAATATGACCTTGTTGTTCTTTGGGAATCTATAGTGATTTTCAAACACTTCATTTCTAAATTATATAGCTCAAACAATATCCATTAAAAAGTCACAGAACTATGGTGGCTGCAGGGTGACAAAGGTATCAAGAGAGGAACCATGAAGGCACAGAGTTCAACAAAAGGGACCAAGGAGAAGAAGTGACCAGCAGATTAAGGGGATTGGCTACAGATGGGGATTGAACAAATAAACCACCATATAGAGAAACCAGCTTTCTTGCTGTCTGAAAAAGGGTTTATAAAATTGAAGGGGGAAAGCCTAGAAAGTATCCCGAGGTTTTGCCTTGGAAATGAAGGTATGCAGGTGAACTCATGATTTTTAAAATACATATGACATATAAATAGACAAGAATGTGTGCATTTATGTGTGTGTGTGTGCATGTGTACATATTTGCATTTAAAGATTGCTCTATCCACTAAGAAGGTTAAATGCCAGGACAACTCAGCAAAAATGAGTCCGCCTTTTG